>NC_000006.12:155828365-155979880 GCF_000001405.40 Homo sapiens | reverse complement strand
TGGATTTGAATTATGGTTCTACCACTTACTATATATACATCTAGACTTCGCACTAAACACCTCTGTGGCCTTTAAAATAAGGATATTTGTATTATCCAAGTAGTGGTTGGTGCCAGGATTAGATGAGATAATCATGTAAAGTGCTTAGCACAGGGCCTGGGACATGCTAAGTGATGAAAATGATGGTACTTGTATTAGTTTTCTATTGCTGTGTAAGAAATTACCACAACTGTGGCAGCTTAAAGCAACACAAATGTATTACTCACAGTTCTGTGGGTCACACATCTGGCACAGCTCACCTAGATTCTCTGCTCTGGGTCTCTCAAGGCCAACATCAAGGTGTTGGCTAGGCTGGGTTCTTATCTGGAGGCTCTCGGGAAGAATCTGCTTCTTAGCTCATTCAGGTTGTTGGCCAACTTTAGTTCCCTGCAGCCGTAGGGCTGACACCCTTGTTTCCTTGCCTGCTATGAGCTGGAGGCTTCCATCATCTCAAGGCCACTGCATTCCTTCTCGTGGGCTGGTCCATCTTCAAGTCAGCAATGGTGTGTTCAATCTCCCTTGTGCTTTGAACTTCTTTGACTTCCTCACCTGCTGGTAGCCAGAGAAAATGCTCTGATTCTAAGGGACACACCTGTTGGAGTCAGGCCCACTCAGATAATCTCTGAATCTTAAGGTCAACTGATTTGTGCTTTAACTACATCTTCAAAACCTCTTCCCAGCAGAGCCTTCATTAGTGTTTGACTGAATAACCAGAAGACAGGAATCTTGGAGGAGGGCTTCTGTAGAATTCTGCCTGCTGCTGTGATGATGAGGGTGAAGATTCGAGCCTTTGACTATTCTTTCCATATAGGAAGATAGGACTAGAGTTAAGTTGGGAGGCAGATGGGGAAACTGCCTGATTGTTCTGCGTCAGAAAGCAGAATTCATTCCTTTGCCCCTGAGAAGGCAGGAAAGAGAGGTAAAATGGGAAATGGAGAGAAGGGAGAGAGGAGATGAGAGCTTAGCCACATGGCAGGGAAATTGAGCAGCTGGACTTTTTTTGCCTGTCTTCTCAAACCTCTCCATAGCACTGCATGTGAGTAGTTTTCTGTGAAAATTAGGGAAACTTGAACTCCAGGGCTGAATAGATGTACCCTGAAGAAAAAACATGAGATTATCCATCCACCACACACACTGACTCAGTGGAAGAAGAAGGAGCTCAGAGCCAGAGGCGGCCCTGGAAATTTGTGGAATTTTAAAGTGGGCATTGCGCTGTGCATAAATTTAGAGTAAGAGTTTGCTGCAATCTTCCCTAATCTTAAAAGGGACAGCAGTTGCAAAATAATATTTCACTTACACATAAAATATACACTGCTACTGGATATCTAGGTACCTATGGTCTGGGACTGGGTAATGCAGGTATTTCTTCCTCCATTTAACAGATTTCCCCAACATCCATCCATCTACTCAGTCATTCAACATAATGGTGATATATACAAGGCATTCTTTGGAGTATTGAGGATTGAGGGACTAAACAAAGTTGCTGGCCTCCTGGAGCTTATGACCTATTGAAACAGAAAGACAATTTATAAATAAATAAAGACAAAATAATCTAATTTTGGTTACTTATAATTGCTAAAAGAGGAAGAAGAAGGAGGATGAGGAGAAAAGAAAAAAAGAAGGAGGAGTAGGGAGAGGAGGAGGAGGAGGAGGAGGAGGAGGAGGAGGAGGAAAAAGCAGGGTAAGGAAGAGAGGCTGATGACACATGCTACTTTAGTTGAGGTCAGAGAAAGTGTCACTCAGAAGTGATAATGGAACCACTCCCGCTTGAAGTCAGGAAAGATGGAGAGGTCAGCTGTGACTGAGTGCAGAGTGAGTCCTGCCCCCAGAAAGAGGGTGAGCAGAGGGGAGCTCCAGACAATTTTGTGACTTGTATTATTTCCCTTCTTCCTAAGTCTGCTTTGAAATTGCTTCGGTAAATGCTTTAAGGACTCTTAATTATGAATAAAAACATGTTCTAAATAAGTGCATAGAAAAAAGACTTACAACTGCTGTGATTTCCAAGTATGGCCAGCATTGCCTGGGGGATCAGAGCCGGCAGTGTCTGAAGTATGCTCTGCACAGTGTTCCAAAAAGACCTCTCACCTAAATTGTTTGCCGCCTGAGTTTAGACCCCATTCACTAATATTGTCAAAAGGGGATTGATTGTATCAGTTAAGTCTAACCATTCTTCAACCCTGGCCACACCTTTCTTCCTCTACTGTTTCAGAACAAGGTACAGTAGGTTTTCCTTCACATAAATGAAATCACAATCATGTGAATGCTGTGAATGCTGGATTAGGCTGAAATGCTAGAAGAAACAAAAGTGAGACAAATGTGAAGATCTGTGTCCATTTCTCAGCAGCACGTATCAATTGCATCGTGGTTAGAGAATGTATCCAGAGGGTGAAGCATGATGCTTTATTTGGAAAGCATTTAAGGACATGAAACGTTATCTCTAGAGGGGAGTAAATCAAGGCAAACGTGGAATTTAGTATAGCTCCTACCCTAGATTAAAACTCCTGCCTAGGGCCGGGTATGGTGACTCACACCTGTAATCCCAGCACTCTGGGGGGGGCGAGGCAGGCAGATCACAATGTCAAGAGATCTAGACCATCCTGGCCGACATGGTGAAACCCCATCTCTACTAAAAATACAAAAAAATTAGCCAGTCATGGTGGCACATGCTTGTAGTCCCAGCTATTCGGGAGGCTGAGGCAGGAGACTTGCTTGAACCCGGGAGGCAGAGGTTGCAGTGAGCTGAGATTGTGCCACTGCACTCCAGCCTGGCGACAGAGTGAGACTCCGTCTCAAAAAAAAAAAAAAAAAAAAAAGAAAAACCCACAAACAAACAAAAAACTCCTCCCTGGAGATTGAGTTTCGTGAGGAGAGAGACACAACCGTCACGTCCCCAGCACCCAGCCCAGGCCTGGCATGTTAGAAGAACTTAATGGATATTTTTGGAATGCATGAATGGTGAACAAACATAAAATGTGTACTTCTTTTGGTGGAGGAGCTATTTTTTGTGAGAATAAGAGTGAATACTTGTCTACTACTCCAAAAGAGAGACTGAAATGATGATAACACTGGCAGTAGAATTCAGTTCCCAGAAGGGAGAATCTTACAATCATTCGGACTGTTAAATGAAGGGACACCACTGCCTTAAGAGAAGGTGGACTTCTAGGTGTGGAGAGCATTCAAAGAAAGGATGCTCCCGTTCTTTGCCCCCGCTCAATCAGTTGTGTAACAGGGGACATTCCTCCATGGAATAGGGAGTTTTTCAGGAGACATTTAGGACCACTTTAACTGTAAGAGTCCCAGATTCTAAACGTTGGAGGTGGGCAGTGTGTATTCTGGGAAGAGGGAAATTCCCAAAGGTGTGGGCTGGAGCTATTACAATTGTGGAGTTGACAAGAGACTCTAATTAACTGAGGACAGATCATGCAGCCATCTAACACCCAAGTAATTCATACTCCCCTCATTCATTTCCGGAATCCCTTGATAACACTCCCTTGACATGATTTCTGTTCTTGAGGTCCCAAAGTACGGTCCACTAAAATGAGAATGTGCCGGAATGTGGTGGTTAGCCCTGGCAGGAATCTCCTGTCCCACTGAAGGATAGCAGGCGTTTCCTCTCCCTCTTCCTGCTCATGGCCTGTGAAGGAAGAACTAATGGAATGAGTTTGGGGGCAGATGAATACCCCTGAGGTGCGCTGGCCCTATCCTTTCCCTTAGACCATTTGCCTTTAACTCTCTCTTGAACAACTGTTCGGTAAAGTTAATAGCTACAAGCTCTTCAGGGGAAGGTTTGTTAAAATCACGTCCAAGAAAATAAATATAATGAATGAACAATCTCTGGAGAAAGCCTTGACATTTAAAAAAAAATGTAAATTAGTCTCACAAGGATCCGCTATGAAATAGGCAAAGTGCATTAGTACAAATGAGATATTTTTACAGCGATTATAGGAGCCATCTCCTGGGGACCACACCTGAACTCTTAAGGGCTGAACCAAAAGCCAGTTGTGTACCCAGGAATCTAGCGTGACAGATTTGAATGTATTCCACTAATAACTCTCCTCACCCCATGCCTGCATTTCAGTGCACGGTTCCCCTGTTGCTCAATGAGCTTTGATACAAGGATGCTGGAGCATGGCTTTGAACTCCTCTGAACCCAATTATACCCAACCATTTGGAAGTGCCATGGTGAGATGATGGCAGAACAGTGCTCTCTGAACTAGCATACAGAGAGTTCACGAAGTAGCTGACTGTGGCGCGTGTGGCAGCCAATTCATACGTAGAAGTGGGCTGCCAGTGGCACCGCTGCCTGCCAGCCTGAAGCAAGCATGGAGAATATAAAAGGGAAATTCAATTAGTTAACCAAAAACGGATTGAGCAAAGTGAAGGGGCAGCTGGTGGCAGCTTCCACACTTTGATTTGCAAGAGAGATGTCTTGCTCCAGCACGGGCTCCTTGCACTGGGTGAATGTGTCAAAGGAGAGAGCTTCCTCGCAGTGAGGGGGAGGCATTTCCCCTCCCCGGAGTAATTCCCTGCTCTTCAGTCATAATGGAAGTCCCTTCTCCAGGTGGGAATCCCAGGCTTTTTCTCTCCAAATCAGCTTGGGACCAATTAAGACGTCCGCAATAGAAAAAAAGAGGGCTCAGCAGTCAGGCTATTGCTCTTTCCCCACAGGGTGGGAGGCTGACGCACTTTCTTATCAAACGACGTGTATGGTACTCAGGATGAAAAAAAAAAAAAAAAAGGAGGCTTTTGTGACCAGGCTCTAAGGAAAGGAGCTGTATTTTATTTCTATCATAAATCTGTTTTGTTTTATGGCCTGAACATAAAATCTTAAAATGACGTTTTAAATCTGGACTAACATGGATCCGTTTTCGCCTATTGCAGCCGACCTGACCTGCAGGCCCCTGATGTGGGGTTGCCATTCACACTTGTCATCTTTAAAGTTTGGGGAGGTCACAAGGTGAGGAGCTAGAGTGGTTAATTTCTCAACTTTGCTGGAGGTCAGAAATCACCAGATCTTTACAATGCAGCAGTCCGTTTTGTTAGGCTCCTTGACTTCTCAAACAATGTGTCGGCCAGTGGTTCTCCTTAAGCATCCAAAATATGTTACTAAAGGAGGTTTCGTTGTTTAGATGGAGTGAGATGAACACGTACGTGAAGTGACCCCTCCCAGCATCTGGCAGTACGGACGCGCCGTTGCCTGAGGATTTTGCATCTGACATGCTGGGGTGGTGGGTCCTGCCCCAGCCTGCCCCTGGGTCGCATGGGAGCCAGGGATTAAATAAACGCCCCCGGCCCGGTGCGGTGGCTCACGCCTGTAATCCCAGCACTTTAGGAGGCTGAGGTCGGCGGATCACCTGAAGTCAGGAGTTCGAGACCAGCCAGGCCAACATAGTGAAACTGCTTGTCTACTAAAAATACAAAAAAATAGCCGGGCATGGTTGTGTGCATCTTGTAGTCCCAGCTACTCTGGAGGCTGAGACAGGAGAATCACGTGAACCTGGGAGGCGGAGCTTGCAGTGAGCCGAGATGGCACTACTGCACTCCAGCCTGGGCAACAAAGCAAGACTCTGTCTCAAAAAAAAAAAAAAAAAAAAAAAAAAAAAAAAATGCCCCCACCTCCACCGTGCTCTGTCATCTCAGAGAGGGGGCCCCCTAACCCACACCTCCTCAGCACCCCCTCTATTTGCTAAGACCACCCTGCTGCCTGGTCTCTCTGCTCTGCATCCCACCTATTAGTTTTGTCAGCCTTCCTCTTCCTGATTTTGTGTCAAACCAAAAGAAAACTCTTTCGTTTTTGAGCTTCTGGAGGACAGAGGTACCCATCCCTCCAGGAGCCACCAGAACCTTGCTAAGTCTTAGGCAAATAAACCTTTCTCATCTTCTTTCTGGCCTTTTATCCCCTTCCACTCCCAGTCCAAGCTTTCCTTAATAGATCTAAACTCCCCAAATCACAGCCTGAGTGGGAGATTTCCTTGTGGGTACTTTCAATTTCTGTTTTTAGCCTTTCAATAAGAAGACGTTAACTACCTTGTTAGTTCAGAAAGGCTAGGCTCGGAACACAAAGAGCTTTTGGTACAGCAGTGGAAAAAATACCTCTGATTTATTTCTGCCTAGGTTAAAATAAAACACAAATTAATATATGGAATGACATTTTCTGCCACACCGATGTCAGTGTTCATTTAGAACATGGATCACAGCAAACATCTTAGGTGCTTCCTCCCCCTCCCTTCCAATACGTGAGAAGCAGCCTCATTCTTTTACTTTTCCAGTGGCTCTCACATGTTTGCTGTAAGATGAAAACCTTCCTTTCATCCAGACTGCTTCTGGCCCTCTGTTCCTCTTTGTGCTCTGGAAAAGCTTCCTAACCGGGCTCCCTACCTGTGGTCTTTCTCCGTTTTAGTGTATCATGTAATAATGGTATTCATTCCTCTGTGTGCCAGGAACTGGGCTAAGCACTTTGCACAAATTATCTCAGTGTGTCTTTACTAGGGCCCTGAGGGCTAGAGATTGTTATTGTGCAGGCGTCTAATGATTTTCTTTAATTCTCTTGAATTTGCAGTGGTGTTAGTTTGCCTGTTGCGTGAAGTCCAAATGCCTTTAGCACCCTCATGGCCTGACTTGAACCAACGTTCTCGATTTATCTAATAGTTACTACTCCTAAAACTGAGCCAGCTGGATGGCACAGACTTCTCTGATGATCCCATGATCCCATCTTTTTTTTTTTTTTAATACCTATACTGTTTTTAACCCTTCATTCTTGTCTTCTGCCTCCCCTTTCTCTTGAATTATTTCACCTTCCATGTGCTCCTCATCTGTGGAAATCCTACCATTCATGGTAGACACTGTTGGTTCCTTACCAAATAGCAATTTTCTCTTTTTTATTACCAATAGAGTCCCAACTTTGTTTGTGGTAGAAATAAGCCTCATTAAAAATATTCCCATCTTTGGAATCTCTTGCCTCCTGGGTTAGTCATGTCATCCAAGTCAGACCAATACAACAGATGCAAGAGCTTTCCTGATAGAAGCATTGCTCCTTTTTCCTGGATGTTTCCTTCTTCTTCCTGTCTGGAATGTGGCTGCTATGCCTGGACGTGAAGCTGCCATCTTGCAACCAAGAGGATGAGGAGCACATGCTAAGGATAGTGTTGTAGGAAGCAAAAGGGAGCCCGTGTTTTTGGTGACTTCTTTGAGCAGCTGCACTTGTTCTGAACTGCATATTCCCCGGCCTTTTTTTTTCATAGAAAAATAATCTAATTCCTTATATGGCTTAATCATGGCAATCACATTTCTCCTCCGATGAATATAATCCTTACACACCATCGTTCAAGGCTAAATTCCAATGCTACATAATGTATGAAGACAACCACTCTCATCTAAGTCATCATCCTCTCTAACGTGGAATAGGGAAGTAACCTCTTAATCTTTTCTGCTTCGACTTTTCTCACGAACATTTATATTACACAATTTTTTTTTTTGCTCCACAGTCAGAGTGGTACTTTTTAAATATTTACAAGATTTTGACATTCCCAGTTAGCAACCCAATCCTCCAATGGCATCCCATAATCATGCTTAAAATAAAACCCAACATCTCTCCATCTATGACAAGGCCCTGCAGAAACTGAATCTTGCTAATATCCTCCCCTGCCACTCTCCCCACTCCTCTCTCCTCACAGTTCCTTGAATAATCCAAATATATTCCAACATCAGATTCCTCATGCTTGTTCCCCCTTTTCAAATATTGGAACCCTCACTCCCTCAATTCCTTCAGGTCTCTACTTATATTGCAATCCATACAGTCTTCCTTGATTATCCCTTCTAAAAAACCATATGAATCTTCACTCTTTCTGCTCATACAATATTATTTTATAGCACTTAACACTACCTCTGTTTATATTATATTATATTATACTATTTATTCACATATTTATTAACTATCTTTCTCATTAGAATGTGAGCTTCATGAATCCGGGGTTTTGGCTGCATTATCTACCACAATATCTCTGGCATTTAGAATAGTTCTAACACATAGTGGGTGGTCAATACATAATTGAGAAATAAATAATTGAAGGGAAGGAAGGAAACACAGAAGAAAGGAAGGAAGATCACAGATCTTGGCTAGGGATTTAAAATAGTCAGTGTTCCTTACGTGAGAGAAGATGAAGGACTGATTTAGGAACTGCTATTCCTCTGAGAATGTTTTCCTAAGAATAAGTGACAATTACTTGAGATAACATCTCCCTGGATTCCTCCTTACATCAGAAGATGGTAAAATCACTAAAGCATGTTCTGTCCACACCTTGCTCTGACAGTTAGTAGACGGAGTGGTGTTAATGTTGCCACAGCAACGGTACATCTTATGTCAAAGCTCCAACTTGCTTTAGATGTGGTAGCTGGTTTAAAAGTTTTCTTGGGGATTCAAAAATATATGTTGCTTTCCGATTTTCTTAACCAGTTGCTTATTGTTAATCACAAACTCTACATGTAGTGCTGAAACTGCTTTTGACCTCTGTCCCTCTGAGAGAGGATCAAAGAGCGCACAGCCATTTGCATGCAACTGTGCTGCATGTTTAAGTGCTATCACAGTTCTAGTGCCATTGATCTCAGATTGGGAAGACAAGCTTCGTAAAACACTAAATAGAAAATGACTGTGTCCCTCCTTGTGGCACCTGTTTCTCACCAAGGCTCACACAGCCAACATGCTCTGTCTCCACTCTCTTTTTCTTGTTTGGTGTGGTCTGGATACACAGAATATCTTTCTGTCATCTAACACACCATATTGCATCCCTCTGTGAGGTCTTTGAACTTTCTGTTTTCTCTGCCCAGACACGCCCAGACATTTTCTTAGCTTACTTCTTTCCTTTCTTCATTGCTATGCTGAAATAGCACATACTCATGTGCTATTTGACAACCCACCCTAAAATGTCTGAAAATCTCAACTCTTGCCTTCTCCCACCCTTTTACTTTCTATTTGTGATCATCTTTATTTTTCCTTATAATATTATTTACTACTTGCCACTATTCTTATATTTATTTGCTTACTTGTCTTCTTCATGAGAATGTACACTCAAAGATGGGAGAGTCAACTTTGTTTTGTTAACTATGTATGAATACTACAGAGTTCTATAACCATGTATTTATCCATTTAACAGTGGGTGGACATTTGGGTTTTGGCCAGATTGGGGCTCTATTACAAAGCTGCTAATGACATTTATGTAAAGGTCTTTGTGTGTACTTACATTTTCATTTCTCTTAGATAAATACCCTGGAAGGAAATTGCTCTGTCATATGGTAAGGGTATTTATATTTATGAAAAACTGTCAAACTGTTTCCCCAAATTCTTCTACCATTTTGCATTCCCACCCACAATATATGAAAGTTCAAGTTGTTCCACATCTTCATCAATCCTTGG
This sequence comes from Homo sapiens, assembly GCF_000001405.40. Taxonomy (NCBI): domain Eukaryota; kingdom Metazoa; phylum Chordata; class Mammalia; order Primates; family Hominidae; genus Homo; species Homo sapiens. Next base: position 155,970,432 of record NC_000006.12, on the reverse strand, counting down.
AATTTCAGTCATTAACTTTAACCATTCTAATGAGTGTAAAGCACTATTTCATTGAAGTTGAAATTTGCATTTCCTTGATCATTAATGATGTTAAACATCTTTTTGTGTGCTTATTATTTGTATATTTTTTGATGAAATGTCTGTACATATCTTTTTCCTCTTTTTATTGAATTGTCTTTTTCTTAATGTTTATTCAGACTCAGTGTAAGAACAATCACATAGAAAACATTCCTGTGCGTTTTATAAGATGGTTGCTGAAATTACATTCCTTATGTTATTCAAACATAGATCCTTGTACAAGGAAAAATTTTGTCTCCAAAATAGGGAGTATAAGATTTTCCATTATGAAATGGGAATTGTATTCTTATCATATTTCCAATTTTCCTTTGAACAATGGGGGTTAGTTCAGTGCTGAATTTAACACTTAATCACAGGAATTATGTTATTTTAGGTTTTTAATATATGTGTTCACTTCCTGACATGCTTCTCTGTTTTTCTACTAAATGCTCATGTTTTTATTATGTATCTGCTTTTAATTCAAGCAGCTTCACATTTCTTTTGAAAGTAGATGACATATATCTCAGTTTCTACACATTTGAGTTCGGATAATGATGCTTCTGATCCAACTCACAGGGATGCTAGAAATTTCATTAGTGTCCTGGCATTGTTCAGACATTTTTGGTTTCTTGGATTAGTTTAATCCAAAATAGTCTTTCTATAAAAGATGGTCACTGAAGTAATTATTTTCCTGTGTTTTTCCAAATACTTTTTACCTTGAAGAAACACAAGTATTTATATTGAGAGCAGCATTCTCACTGTAGTAGTTTTATGCTATTTTATGAAAATATGACATAATTTTCTAAAACAGAATACATAAACTTTTTAACTCATATCTACCTTTACCTATGTTTTTGATGTCAGGAGCCACATTTTATACATGTTTGTACTCCTCATAACCCCAAAAGAGCTCCCTGTGCATAGTAAGGTATTTAATCAATGTTGCTTAAATAAGTGCTAGATAAAGGAGTGGCAGGAATTTTAAATTGTTGTACATAATTTATTTATTTATTCAGACAAGCATCCATCTCTTATAGGGCAGACATACGTGAATTACTTTCAGGGACCTGAAGAGGGACAGAGGACTGGAAGTTGCAGCAATAATGTTTTCCAAAGTAGTTTTCTTTCTGGAAATATCATGTCCACTTAGTGATCAAACAAATGAAATTAAGAGAATGAAAATGATGAGGAAATGGAGTGGCCTGGTGGGGAGGCCATTGCTGGAGAAGAGCTTGTGGGGGATGGTGAGCTCAAGAAACAGAACTCTCCATTTGGAGGGGCCCTGGAGTCTGCAGCTGTACTGAGCTCTCCTGGAGTTGAATATCAAGGGTTAATTTGCCATAATAAAATCAGCATGAACACTGCCAAAGAGGCCTGAGCAGACCCTCAAGTAAGTAATTAATTCTGGCTGCTTTCCGCTCTCTAGCTTTCATCATCCTTAATGTTATCTAATTGTAAAATTATTCTTCAAACCTCCCTTCTATAAAGGAAGAAAATGCCCAGATCTAGCCTGCTTTTCTTGAGGGCATGGGTGCCTCCTGCATCTTGGTGGAAGTACCCAAGATGCTACTAATTAAGGATGTGTGAACACTTGAAAACTTTTGATCAACTTTCATAAAATAGCCTACAAAGGAGTTCTAGAAAAGCTTTTCACTGGGCTTTCCTTTGGAGGGAAGCACAGGGTTTTCTCCACAGCTCCTCTGACCTTGAGACCCTCACAGTGACTCTGTGGGATTCTGAGATAGGGATGCACCTCTATTAGTCTGTTGTTGCATTGCTATAAAGAGCTACCTGAGACGGGGTAATTTATAAAGCAAAGACTGGGTAATTTATAATTGACTCACGGTTCTGCAGGCTGTGCAGGAAGCAAGGCTGGGGAGGCCTCGGGAAACTTATAATCATGGTGGACCGAGGAGGGGAAGCAGGCACATCTTACATGGCCAGAGAAGGAGGAAGAGAGAGCGGGGGAGGTGCCACCCACTTTTAAACAGCCAGATCTCCTGGAAACTCACTCTCATGAGAACAGCAAGGGGGAAATCTGCCCCCATGATCTAGTCACCTCCTACCAGGCCTCTCCTCCAACACTGGGGATCACAATTTCATATGAGATTTGGGCAGAGACACAAATCCAAACCGTATCAGCACCTAAAAGGCAAGTAGGAGCAGAGCAGAGAGAAGTTCCTGGCTTGGCCCCTAGTTACTTCTGCTGTTGGGCACGATACTAAGGAAAAGGTTGGGGACCGTCCCACCTCACAATCTGCTGAGCCTCCCAATGCCAAGGGCTTTTCATTCATGGCAATGCAGCCAGAAACACCGAATGTTCACCCTTAAAGGACACATTTATCCTGTATGTCTTTCTCCTCAAAACAGCAAGGTTTTGCAGGCAAAGCCATTTCTCTATTCACAGCCATGGCAAGGGAAACCAAGCTGTCTTTTCCACTGTGATTACCTGCTCAGGCTTCAGGTCTTAGGGTCACTAGGTAACCTTAGCAACCTAAGTGCAATGCACTATTAAAATAATGACTATTTCTCCAGTCTAGTTAAAAAATAGAAGAAACAGCCTTGGATGGCATCCTGGTCAGGGGGGAAATATCTCATGTGTCTCTGGGGTGAGATATAAAACTGAGGGCTTGACCTCTTTTGGCCATTAAAGACCTTTGAGTCCTCTCCTGTCTCTTTGTTTCCTACAAGAGTAGTGGTAGTATTAATTCTGTGGCTGGCTAAATTCTAACTGGGGTAATTATACTGTCACCCTGTATTTCCCTGGAGATTCAGTTAGAAAAGTTACTCTTTGATCATGCTCTTAAATCCTACTGTGCTAGGCTTCGTAACATGGCAGGTGAAGAATGGCTATTGGATTCCATATGCCTCCCTCCGCTGGATGAGTGATGCTAATTCTATGTACGTGTTCTGCTGAGTGCTTGGGGATCCTTCTGGGGGGAACTGCTGCAGTAAGCATGAGCTATTATTAGTCTACTCTCAAAAAAAGAACTTGTTGTTCTAGGCTATATTCCTTGGAAAATTTTTACTCAAAACTCCAGACAATTAGCAAAATAATGGAGAAGATTGCTAGAGGTTTGAATTTCATGATACATGTGTCTATATGCATCTTTACAAATATATGATAAAATACACATATATGTGTACACACACAGAGATAAAAATGAATTCCTTTACACATATAACATGTTTGATCATAAATATCCTGGGCAACCTATTGGGTCATTGTTGTTTACTTTTACATAACATCTCCCAGGCTGACACGACCAGTGAAATGGGGGTCTTGGAAGAGCTACACAGGCTGGGCACCTTTCAGGTGGTTTGGATTTAGAGCCAAAAATTATGACTGAAGATGCTTTAAAATTATTGTAAGGGAATCATGGAAACAGTAATTATAGACTTCAGGGAAACTCCTCAAATGCTGAATTATTAAACTCTTATAAAAAACAACCTAAATACAGAGAGTGTGCACAGCTTAAGGGCTTCATGTGTCCTGAGCACTCAAATCAAACGTGTGGCTGAATAAGGAGCCATGTAAGTAACTCCACCCTTACAGCAAGACACAACTACGGAGGGAATTTTAGGGGCAAACCTAATCATATGAATGCTTGTATTTTTTAGTGTCTTCTTTTGTGTCTCCTCTTGCCTTAGATTTATTTTGGTGACTAAATTCAAAGAAATATGTTCACAGAGTTTATAATCCTATGTGGGAAAAAATCTAAATGTGTATTAAGAAGGAATTGTTTTAAAAATCAGAGTATATGGCAAAAATGATCATGTAGAGTACCATTTGTGATCATGGAAAGATGCTAAATAAGAAATCTGGATACAAAATCCTAATTTATATAGTTCCTAATTTATATAATTTATATGATTATACGCATTTGTGAAAATATGTATTTCTGATTGCATATGGTGCAAGAAGTAATTCTGGACATCTACACCAAGTCTAACAGTGATTGCCTCCCGGTAGTTTCATTTTTATGTTTTTTAAGTTTTGGTGAACGTTGTAAGTTATATTTTATAATTAATGTCAAATGAATTATAAAGGGTCACTGAAAATTAATTAACGACAAGACCATAGAAAAAAATGTAATCCTGACCGCAAGGTACACTAGTACAACAGCTTAGGAAAGAATTCACTTTATAGAGTTCTATCAACTATCTGTTGTAAAAGTCAATGCAGTGGAACAGTTTATTTAAAATACAGTATTTTGTTGGTTAGGGGGGAAAAAGTTGCTTAAAAAAATTGCTGTGAGGTGATACCTGTCACATAAATTTAAATTCTGAGGCTTTAAGCAGAAATTTTGGCAAAACCCTCTAACTTGATATACCATTTGATGACCAAGAGACTGACGTCCCTCCCACAGGAGACCTGCGTGGTGCTGTGGCTGCAGGTGATAAGCCCTCCTTGGAGTCAGGGAGCCTGAGAAGGACCCAGGAGGGCCAAGGCAGAGAATGCAGAGGCCATTTGGGGCCCAAGGGGTTTGGGGATCCTGCCATTCCTCATGCTGGCTGGCACTAAATAATAAATGAAAAATACCAAAGAAACAATAAAATGTTAATCAAATACATATCACTACAGAGAATCTTATCTAAACTTCTGTGAGAGACCAAATAATATTTTCAAGTATTACCTTTTAGAATATCCCCTTGATCTGAGTCTGAAAGCAGCTAGGACCGTTGGATTTCAATGTGTGCTTACTGTGCGTCAGGCGTTCTTCCAGGAGCATCACACGTATTCACTCATGTAAAAGTCACAGTGAGCCTAGGAGGTAGGTGGTGGTGTTATTTTCCAGATACAAACACTAGGGCATAGGGGAATTAAGTCATTTGCCCAAAGTTGGGTACCTAAAATAAATGCCAGAGTCAAAATAGAAGCCGTTACCTTTTCACTCATGTGAAACGCCCATGCATTCCCCTATCATTCTACAAATTGAGAATAGTCTTTGCAGGTTTTTCTGAGATTCTGTGTCTTTATGTATGAAATAAGTCCTATGATGTCAACTTGAGAATGGTGAACATTGCAGCAAAGACTTATGTAAGCGTTGGAGGAAGTATGAGCTCTTTCTCATTCTTAGTTGAGTGGACCCTTAGAGACTAAGCAGGCTATGGTTATTGGCCGCAGAAACATCATATTCATATCTTCCCAGTTTCTTTCTGCAAAAACTGAGATGGATATAAGTACTTGTATAGGCTTCCAATCCATTTTTCCCACCTTTCTAAGCCATGGCTACCACCAGTAAAATGAGCATGTTTTCCAAATAATAAAAACTAAACACATGATCTGATGAATTATTTTCTCCAAGTTTTGAATTTATGTATATGTATAATATATAACTATAGAGTATTTAATTTTATATCATCTAATTATTATAGAATGTTATAGAAACACATAGCACGTTTTTTTGTATGCAAAATGAATTGCATTTATTAAAAACAATAGTATTGCAAAATAGAAAATCACCCTGGAAAAATTTCCAGCATATGATTACCAGACATTGAGCAGATATTATTCATTATGTAGTAGGGTTGGAGAATATATTAATAGCTGGCGTCAGCCTTCCCCTTGTAAAAAAAAAAATATCTTTACTGGGAAATGATCTGGATGGATCCTGCTTGGGGAGGTAAGAACCAGCTGTGATAACCAGCAAGGGGGTTCGCTGCATGAGACTGAAGAAGAAGTGGATTTGTTTTACATCTCAAATGGAGGGGAAAAGATGATGACTCCTCCTGAGCATGAGGAAAGAAGATAGAGAAGCCAAAAAGATAAATCAATTCTGAGACTGCTCAACCTTGCCTTGCCCTGGGAATCTTAATGAAGTCTGTATTCTTAAATATGCTTTGCGTGGGTTGAGATATTTAAAAAATTCAAAGTGGCTGAATGAAACACTAGTGTCAATCAGAGCTGAACAGAAAACAGACATGAAGAAGCAGCAGCCCAGGGAGTAGAGGAATCCATGAACAGAGTTGACCTTTCCCTCACCTTGCCTTGGGGATTCAGAAATATGAGGGAAGGTCTTAGGTAATGGAATTAAGTATGTACAAGAGTGAGAAGATTTGAGGTAGCATTTAAGGGTAGTGAGGCCCATATGATATTTGAATTACATTTATAAGGACATTTTATTTGGATCTTTGCAACATTTAACATACAACATAGGATAAAGAAGAATCTTTATTCCGTGGCTTGGAGGTTTAAGTTTGTATGATTTCATGGCTTCTGTACACAATAAAACAAAGCACCCCACTCATGAGCAGAAAGAAGTTTGGTCACAGTTGGAATGATTGTTTTAGGTAATTGGAATTTTGCTTTATAAAAGAAGCATGTACTTAGCAATATGGCTTCCTTATGTCACAATCCGGATGCTGAATAGGTTCCTAGACTAATCTTTGTATTATAATGGTCAAACTTGATTTCAGCTATAAATGGCAAGCATAATATATAACAGATAATAGATATATTAATGGCTCAAGTAACTTCTATACCTCCTCCATCTTTCAAATAGTCCTTGATTTTCTCTTTGAAAAATTTCTCATTTTCTTTCTCTTATCCCCTTTCTCTTTCTCTCTCCTTCATTAAACTATAGCTGTTTAGATTAATAAGAGACATCTTGTAATAGGAGATATACTCAGTGTGAGAGCTTAATTCTCCAGCTATTGGATGCCTGACTGGGCATGTGACCTTAGGACCACATTCCAAACAACTTGACATTTGGTGGATAGACTTGATCTCAGTGTTCACAGAGCCACATGGACAGGACTAACAGCCACCAGTGGCTGCTGGATTCAGAGGATGTTAGGAAAATCCAAAGAGGTATTATCTCTACTTCTTTATACCTCACTCATTCCAGTTCACTATAATTTGTTACCATCCTGAAGCACTCAACTATCAACCCTAAAGAATATCATTGGCATCCTAATTACCAATCACAATCACAAATTTTCATCTTTATTTTACTTGACATCAAATTTGACAATACAGTAATTCCCCCTTGTCCTTCAGGGATAAGTTCCAGTGTTCCCAGTGGATGCCTAAAACTGCAGATAGCACTGAGCCCTGTATATACTGTTTTTTCCTATACATACATACCTATCATAAAGTTTAATTTATAAATTAGGCACAGTAGGATAGTAAACTAACAACAAAATAGAACAATCATAACAACATATTATTATCAAAGTTATGTGAATATTTAGTTCTGTAATTTTCCACTTAATATTTGTGGACCACTGTTGATTGCGGGTAACTGAAACTGAGGAAAGAGAAACCACGGATATGGGAGTACTACTGTATTGATCTCTCCATTACTTTATCTTATTCTGAGTTCCAAATGAGACTATTCTCGTTTGGTTTTTATGTTGCTAACCATTTGTCTTAATCTCTTTTGATGGTTACTTCTCTTTTCTGTGATCTAATGTATTACCCTGGCTTTATCTGTCATTCCCAAAACAATATCTCTACTTTTCAAATACCCCCAGGCAGAATATACAAGTCTACTAGATGTCTCCAACTAAGCTATTTACTCTCAGTCTCTTTCTCCTGCTCTCTAACCCCTCACATCAAGTAAGTCATCACGTTATATTTATTCTACTTTAGCAATGGTTCTTACCTTAATTTTATCCTATATGCTAGAATATAGTCACCCTTTACCTTTTTCATAAAACATCGTAACAGCTTTTCAATGATGTCCCTGTTCACTCTTCCACACCATCCTCCATACTATGAGAAGGTTTCCTTCTCACACTGTGGTAGACTTTCACATTGGTGGCTCCTCAATGAGTTATGTCTCCCAGAAGTCATGCCCTTGAGAAATCACAACCTACATTGACTCTGGGGTTGACCAGATGACTTGCTTTGACTAATCAGGTATTAACAATAATGATGCAATTGGAGATTTCATAAGTGCTGGCATGTCCGGGATTGTCCCCTAGAAATCTTCCCTTTTGGATTCCAGCCACCATGCTGTAAGGAGGATGGTTTATGAGTGACTGTTGGAGGAAGAGGGGCTGTGTGGGAGGAATGAGGCACCTTAGCCAATAGCCAGCACCAAGGCCTCAACATGAGTGAGGCATCTTGGATTTTCAGCCCCTGCTGAGTTCCCAGTTGAATGCAGCTGCATGGGAGACCCCAGTTGACCTGACACGGAGAACTGCCCTGCTGCCCATTGAATCGTTACAAATTGAAAATTGCTGCTATTTTAAGCCTCTAAATTTTGAAGTGCTTTGTTATGCAGTAATAGAAAACAAAAACATCATGTGTAAGCTTAAAATCCTTTGTTGGTTTCTGATTTACCCAGAGTGAAGTTGAAATTCCTCCCCATGTCGTATCATGCAGGACACACCTTTTGTAGTCCTGTCTCCCATCCTTCTTCTCCTCAGACCATTCACTCCACCATCCTCAAGTGGTTCGTTGTGACAGTGCACAGCAACGTCCTCTGTGTGACAACGCTCCACTGCTTTCTCGTGTGGTCGATGCCTCGCCCTTCAAAACCTTATCCAACTTCTTTATGACTTCTTCCAGGCAAAGCTAGCACTGACTCTCCTATGCTCTCGTAGCACTTAGTCTTCGCCATTTCTGTACGGCAATTAACATGTTTGTTTGTGTTAGTTTTGATTTTATATTTGTTTATGTATTTGTTTCTCCAATGGAACTTAGAGATTACATCATCTAGTCCTCACTGACCTCTCTGGCATAGTTTTATTCTCCTACTCTGGATACTGTAGCCATATTGAATCATTCTCACTCTCCCTGGGGCATCTTCCAGCCTTGTCCTTCCCCCACCCCTCACCCACATTTCTGTTTTCTACACCTCTCCTCAATCATCACTCTCTCTCTTGGGTATTAACTTCTTCAGGGCAGCCTTTCCTAACCCTTCAACGCTGTAGCACATGTTTGTCAACTAAAGAAAGAAACTGAGGCAAAATTAATGCAGAGTTTATTTAGGCCAAGATTGGGGACTGCAGCCTGGAAACACTTCCAAGTTACCTTGGGACCTGATCTGGGAACAAACAAGAGTCTTGAGTTTTTAAAGAAAAAAGAACCAATAAGGAGGCCAGGTGATGACAAAAGTTGTTTTCAGGAATTCTCATTAGTCTATGAAAATAACATAGATTAGTGATTGGCTATGCATTGTTGAACTATAGAGTGTGAGTTATGGTGTCCAGCATATGCAGTGTATGGCACTGAGAAGATAATTTATGTCTGTTTGGCATCAGTGTAGAGCCAGCAGAGCAAGTAGCTTCAAGAGGTGATTACCTAGCTCAAGGGTGAGTGAGAGGGGACTGCTGCCACGTTTCCACACCTCTCAGGGGGGTCGATCATTTAAAGGGGATTAATGTTTCTCAGACAGAGTTTCTTTTCTCATGCTCCCTCTGTAAACTACATTCATAGCAACTCTACTTACCCACAAAGCTCACCTTTTCTTAAATGTCTCTTTATCTGTACTTCCCAGGAGAATAAAACCTCCTAGAATCAGAGAACAATTCCTTTTTACCCTTGTATCTAGAACAAGGCCTAGGACAGAGTGTGTATTCAAGAGACATTTTCTTCAACAAAGGAAGAAATGAGTGGCTGAATGAATAAGTGGCTGTTCTTTATGTATGCCAACCACACATCCTGGCTTTTTAAGGACAGTTATATTTTCAAATGCTCCATGCCAGAGTCTCTGCATGCACAATTGTACTTGCCAAATTTTGGTTGAGAAAAATAAGATCCATGTACCTATAAGAGTAAGGCATATTGGCAATATTGCTGTTCTTTATTTAGACTATTCACTTAATGTAGGCTAAACTTGCATTAACTTTTATTAGCAGCCCTATCATACTGTTAGCTTATAATGAAATTGTGGTCAAATAAAATCCCCAGGTCTCTTTCACATGAACAATTGTCAAAATGTATAAACAAACTGGTTGAATTAATAGCTGGGAACAGCTAATAGGGAAACCCTACTGCTTAAAATGCAATTCTTGGCGGGCCAAATGTTCGCCCATCTTAACAGTAATTGCACAATGCATTTGCAGTGAAGGCCTCATTAAAACTTCATGCTCACCTGTGTGCAAGCAGCACTAAGGATGCATATGGGTTAGGGCAATGGCCAGGTGATTGCCTCCTGGGCTTGCCCAATTGTGAATTTCAGTTAGAGCCACAAAAGTCTGTGCCTTTGTGCCATGATTTATTATAGGGAGTTTGTATCCCAGGGGAGTTCAAGCAATTCAGAAGCAGCAGGAAGAGACAGGGAGGCAGGTGAGCAAAGAATTGAGTGACTGTGAGACGTATTGTGACACCTTGTTAATTATTAACTCTGGCAGCAGGTTGTCAAGTTAACCGGAAGGGGAGGGTGGACCTAATTAAGTATCCAAACAGCATTTCTAAAGAGCCGATACTGTCCAGAAACAGTTTCCATGGGGTTGGGCACAAATAAGTTGTCCATCTTGAGTCCAGGGGAACCTGGTTGTATTCCAGAAATCCTTGCGGTCTAAGCTATGTATATCTGCACTCATTGCCTGTTGGAGGTGAGGCATGTGTATCGAGTTGCCTCCAGTAGAGGAGACATAGTAGGTTTGATGGCCAATTTTTAACCCAAGGCAAGATGAATGGCACATAGAGAAGACGAAAGGCATACTTAGTCAGACTACATTAGGGGTACTTGTTTAAATCACTTTTCTGTTCAGTGTAAAGTCATTGAGAGAGCACTCTATGATATATTTTGTAAGGAATCAACTATTAAGTGACTCTTCTCCAGGATAATTTTGGAGAAATTCTACTACATGTCAGATAGAAGATCTGAATAGATCAAGGGGAATCAAAATCAAGAGCCTGGGTGAATAGAAAAATGCAGCCCTGATATGGTTTGGCTCTGTGTCCCCACCCTAGACTCATCTTGAATTGTAATCTCCACGTGTTGAAGGAGGGACTTGGGGGGAGGTGATTGGATCATTGGGGGCAGTTTCCCCATGATAGTAAGGGAGTTCTTGCCAGGTATAGTTGATAAGTGTCTAGTATTTCCCCTGTGCTCTCTCTTTCCTGTCACCTTGTGAAGAAGATGCTGCTTCCCCTTCTGCCATGATTGTAAGTTTCCTGAGGCCTGCCCAGCCATGAGGAAATGTGAGTCAATTAAACCTCTTTTATTTATAAGTTACCCAGTCTCAGGTAGTATCTTTATAGCAGTGTGAGAATGAACTAATACAAGCCCCTGGGAGGAGGCAGAAAAGAAAGGGCCCCTGTGGTGATGCACAGAGAGAAAGGAGATTTTTGCCTGCAGGTCTTCTTAGGGGGACTCTCCATGATCCTAGAGGTGCTGGGGATCCTGCAAAGTTCTTCCTTAGCCAAGTCACCTAATCTTGGATCCACATGTGTAAGATAAAGAATACCTACTTCACAGAGTTGTCATGAAGATTAAATGATGTAACATACATTAATTTCCTAGGACAACCCTTTTCTCCATAGCAGGAGCTCAGTACATAGCAGGCACACTATCCACGCCTCCCTTTAAGCCAGGTAGGGACCAACAAGTTGGAGGACTGTCCCAGAAGAGGACTCACCTAAAATGCCTGGAGACTACTTCTTGAGGCAATCAGAGAGCTTTAGGTTGTGTAATGTGCTTGGCCGGGTGCCATGTGACCTTTCTGCAGTATCCCTGTGTGGGACTGCCCCAGGTGTGTCCTTTACAACTGGAATCAGCCCTTCACATAGTCTCTGATGTGAAGGATGCCTCCTACAGCTGTGCAAGGTGCACTCTGCAGAAAAAAATGTCTACTTGAGCACCTCTTATAAATTCTCTGTTTGTAGATTTTATTTTTCTGTTTATGAAAGTGAAATGTACCACATATATATATTTATATGGAAAGTGAAATGTAAAAAATATACATATTAAAAAATATGGAAGGAAATAGATCAAAATGTTAATGTTATAAGAGGAGTTGTTTCTAAGCGAGTTGAATTATTTGGCTTGTCTGAACTTCCCGAGGCATATATATATATATTTTATATATATAAATCTATAAATATATATAATATATATATTATATATAATGTATACTGCAGAAAGGTTGCATGGCACCTGGCCAAGCACATTACACAACCTAAAGCTCTCTGCCTCAAGAAGTAGTCTCCAGGCATTTTAGGTGGGTCCTCTTCTGGGAGAGTCCTCCAACTTGTTGGTCCCTACCTGGCTTAAAGGGAGGCATGGATAGTGTGCCTGCTATGTACTGAGCTCCTGCTATGGAGAAAAGGATTGTCCTAGGAAATTAAAATATATATATATAAATATAAATATATATATATACATATATATATATTTTATATATACATATATATATATGCCTCGGGAAGTTCAGACAAGCCAAATAATTCAACTCACTTAAAAGCAACTCCTCTTATAACATTAACATTTTGATCTATTTCCTTCTATATTTTTTTCTTTACATATTTATCTCAGCCTATTTGGGGGTTGTATACTCCTTTTCCCCCTTTAGTCTTAAGTTTAATTTAACCAAAAATAGAACTAATTCTTTAATCATTAAGAATAAAGGAAAATCCTTACTGATTCTCTATGTAGGATGAAAAATTTGGCAATGTTTTCTTCTTTCTATTTCTTCATCATTCCCTTGTCTTTCTGACATAATCTGAAGTATTCGTTAGTTACTGTGGGGATTTTACATAGTATGTCTTCTCTATAAGATTTATTATTTTGATATTTACATGTCATAAAGTGAAATTAAATTTTTAAAGAAAAAGAGAACCTAAAGAACCTCCACTGTGACAGGTTTAGGACTCACAAGGAGAAATCATGCATTAACAAAACAAAACAACCTCAAAAAGGTTTGATGAAAAATTGGAGGCTGATCTGATAACTATGAAGCTGTATGTATCTCTGTTAAATGCAGTGGTGTTCAAATTTGTGCAGTTTGAGAAAAAAACTTGAAATTTATGTGTGCATCGTGTTGTTAATCCTTTCTTCTTACTCAATATCACCAATAGAGTTACTGAGTAGATGTTGCCAAGTGGGGCTCAGCTCTGAATATTAAAAATAAACTCCTAGAATGCTTTACAGTTTGCAGTATACACTTATTTAATTGACTCTCTGTAATAACCTTTGAAATTTAAGGATCGCTGTGTTCATTTTTACATAGGAGGACTCTGAGACCTAAAATGGCTGAGTTGTTTTCTCAAGGCCACCCCATTAGTTAGTGGTAGAACTTTGATTTTTGAGTCTTCTCCAAGCTGAGGTGCTTCCAGGGCAACCAGCCCACTTGCCTGAAAGAGCAGGAAGGCCCTTGAGCTCCAGCTTAGGGTCAAGGTTGTAAGTTGTTTTCCATATGCTGGTCTTTAACTGAAGAAAGTGTAAACTTCATACCTTCACCACAGGTTCCAGGTCCTATTCTTCCTCTTAAGAAAGAAAGTCAATGGGTTTATATCATTGTTGTCCAAGAATAAATTTACATTCTTTCCTCACTTGCATTACTTTTGAACTGCATTGAGCACATCTACACACAAATTCACTCTTCTTGCAGAAAAATAGCACATCAATACAATATTTTGATTTTGTTTCCTATTTAAACTGTTGAAGCAGAATAATAAAAAAGTTGAATTGTTTCTTAAATTGATAGAATGGAGCCCCACAGAGTGCATTTATCTCAGAGTTTGCTATGGTGCCAGAGGGTTTAAAAATTTTTTTTAAATACCTAATTTTTTTTACCATAATTTTCTTTCTTCTATCCTGTATGCACCACAGTTTTTGCTGTTACTGAAATGGGTTCACTCATCCAGCGTCTCCCTGTTATTACTTACCAAAGCCATCAGCGTTCTATAGACACAGTGACGATATTGCTATTTTTTTAATGTACTTAAGAATCTTGATCTAAGTCTCCTCTAAAGGATGAGAAACAGAAACCCAAGAAATTTGTATTTTTCTCAACAAACTATCCCTTTATTAAAAAATTAGGATGGAAAGGAAAATAATAACTTATTCACTATGGGGAGAATATAGGAAATAATATTCCAGTTCAAAGCAAAAATTATAAAACTACAATCAAGATAATTTTGAGAAATCTGTTATCACCTTCTATGTTATAGAACTAGTAATCTACCTTAATTTGGGTTATAGCCCAAGTTTAGTCTTTATATCATATTAATTGATTTCCAGATCTATTTCCAATTGATCCTGTCATTGTTGCTCTAATCTGAGAAACAGGAAGTGGAAATATAGGTCTCCCTGCTTTTCTAAAGGGTTTTTTGATCTTCTGATATTACAGGTGATGAAAGTCACCTAGCATCATTGCTTTTTCAGTAGGAGGTAAAATTTAACCTATAATGGAAAGTGTTTACTGAAACCGAAGATTTTGTTAGGTTAGGAAATGGTTGCTGCTGAAAATAGTTACATTTTAAAGGAACTAAACTATTGTAAAATACTGTACTTTCAAATCCTTTGGAATACAAAATAGTAAGCCTTTCAAATACACCAGTATGCATATTTTGCTATTACTTACATAACCCATAACTGGAACCTTTTGATTTATGTATAAATAAAAATATTTGTAACTTGTATTTATATTTTTTTGCGATTAAGGATAAATTATATCAACTGATCACCACCTTATTTTTTTCCTTCTGTGAGATATAAGCATATTTTTAGAGATACTGTAAGTCTGCTGAAGTTCCTTGCTTAACTAGATTTCTCCCTAGAGATTAAGGGACATTAACCTTTGTTAGGCACTTACCATGTGTCAGGCAATGAGCTAGGTGTTTTTTATAAATTACTTCATATACATTTCACAACCTTGTGTGAAGCAAATACTATACTTCCCATTTTGCGGATGAAAAGATTGAGCCTTAGATTAGTTAAATAATTAGACCCCAAATCAAGCGGCTAGTAAATGGCTGAGCTGGCATTTGACCCAGGTTTAGTCTGGCTGGGGAAACCTGCCTGCATTTCTTTTCTTCTACATCAAGGTTCTTCTGAATTCCCCGTGAAAGCTGTTAGTTTCAGCAAGTCCGGCTGAGTACTTCCTTTTCTTACCAAGCCCCTACTGCAAGTTCATATCCCTCAATCTACCAAAGCGCTTGGTGTTAGGGCTGCTCTGGAGCCCTGGGGAGAAATCAGGTGGTGTTAGCGTGCATTTAGGGGAAGTACTACATTTACATAACTACTGATTACATTTACATTTCCTCACCTGTCATTATAGCCGCTACCCAATCAGATCGTATAGCAAACACCTAAGAGGAGAAGAATGTGTAAAAGAACCCACCCAATTTGTGTCTGTTAAAGTAACTAACTCATCTTTTGTAATTTGCAAAAAGAAAAACCAGAACAAGAATCCTCATTTCTGCCATTATTTCTTACTTTGAATTCTGTGGGTACTACATAGCAAAACTATAAGTTTGTCTGTGTTAGTCAATAAACTTGAATTGGCAGAAATAGGCTGTGCTTTTGATATGTTCTCAAATCATATTAATCAGTGCCGTGCCACACTAAATGGAATCTGATTTTTCCTTTAAGGGGACTATTGTGACCAGTCTGGGTCAGAATCAGAGCTTAGCCTCTTTGGGCAAATTAGGGATCTGTGGTTCATAGCCTCAGTTTTCAATCTGCAAAGGGACCATGGTAATATCCCATAGAGTGAGAAAAGAGCAAACATGTAACAGGCTTAGCGCAGACTATAGCTGAAAAAATGCCAGTCACACCAAGGGTAGTAGAGTCCTTTCCTGCCAAGGTGTGCTATGACGGTCAATGGTTTTATGTCCTCGATCTCACCATGCCCTCATTTTCTGATGATTGGGAGCAGGCTCTTTAGTATTTATCTCCTTGTTAATTGAATGACTAGTTCTGGATAATGGATAATTCTCAATTTTCTATTTTTAGAAAGTGTATAAATATCTAAATTAGATTTAGGCAAAGTGAGCTGCAGTATTTGATATGCCGGGAACATAATTAGGTTGCTCCGTTTACCTACACAGTCGCAAGCAAACTTTAACTCATTAATCTGTAAAGGACTTTGATGAACCTTTGAACTAGATAAAAATATGCCAGTCATGGCAAAGTTCTACTCGATTCTCTGAGAACTTTCAAAGGACTGAAAGTGACTAATATATTTGGTTTTATAACATCATCCACCAGCTCTGATCATGCCACTCGGAAATCTTCAGAGGATTCTCACTGCCTCAGAGTCAAATAAAAGACATTTGGGGCGAGCTAAAAGCACTGCACGAGGACTCAGGTGACCCCCACTCTGGTTCCCTTCTTTCCTTTATCCTCAGTGATCTTGGGCAAGATGGGTAGCCTTTAGGGCCTCAGATTCCTCATTGTTATACTGAATTAAAGATAACAATCCTAGGGGCAGAGAAAGGCTTACATGCCATCATGTCTGTGAAAGTCCTTTTGAGAATTCCAAGTGTAGGTCTGATGTTAGGCCTGAGTCCCCAGTACCTGGGAACACCTAGACCTGACTTCCCTGCCCAGGTTTTTCTCTCTTAACTTCCCCACACCCTCTTCACTTCCCGAAGCCTCCTCCTTTCCACTCTCTGAACCCTCCCTGCCCTGCTGACTGACTGTCTCTGTGCCTCTATCAATATTCTTTCCTAGTACAAGAGTGCCCCGGCCGCCACAGGAACCCATCCATTCAAGGACCAGCCCAAAGGCTGCCACTTCCGGAAATCCATCAGCCCAGCTCCCCTCCACTTCCACAGCATTTCACATTCTATTTCTAAGACTTGCCATATTCTTCCTTGCCTCGTGTTTTCACACACAAACATGCATTTGTTTAATTTATGCATCATTAAAAGTTCTCTAGATTTTGACCCTGTGTCTCTTTTTCTCCTGGTTTGGAGAACTCAGCCCACCACTGTGCCACCCATCCTGTTCTTTCTCACTTGCTCTCAGACTTGACTCCATCTCACAGGCCCCATTTTCTTTATTTCAGTCTCAACAGAACGTATCTACAGCCTAAAAAGGTGCCCAGGTGCCCCTAGCCCCAACTCACACTGTCCTTGCTTCTCTTTCCCAGTCAATGTTATGAAAAAGCCTTGTATGATGTGGCTTTTGTTTTCTCAACCTCCTCACTTCTCAGTGCCTGAAATCACTATCTGGTGCCCACAGTGCTCTACGGAAACTGTTCTCTGTCATTGCCAAGGTGATCCAACCCCTCTCCTACCTTTTCCTAATTGTTTCTCCAATTCATCCTAAATCCACCCCCCACCCCCATGAATACCTCTTCAAGTGTAGTTCTTATGATATCATTTCCCTCTCTTGCAGAAAACTTGTGTCTACAATGTGTAGACAAGTCCCAAAAAAGAAACTGAACAACAGCCAATAAACGTGTAAAAAATATTTAACCTTAACAGAAAGCAAAGAAACATGTGAAATCCTTTTTAAAAATCTTTCTTATTCATAAAGTTTTTAAAAAACTACCCAATATGATTGAGTTTAAGGATAAGCAAACACATTTTGTGAACAGCGATTTAAATGTGAACTGGTGCAATTTTTCAGAAATCCTCTAAAATTACACGTGCATAATTTCAACCAATTAAATTTTAGTAATATATACTAATTTCTTATGGCAACATTGTTTATAAGAGCTAAAACTTGGTAATAATTCTGTGACAATAAAAAATTGCACACATCCATACAATGAAATACCATGTAGCCACTGAAAGATGGTGTACAGTTAGTTGACGTGAAAATATTGTATAATATGTATTTAAGTGAAAAAAATCAATTTGCAAAATGACAGATATAAAATTTCTAGTTTTAAAAATATTCAGAACTATTGAGTATGCTAGGGTGCTATTCTAGCTGCTAGGGATATGAGTATGCATAGAAAGTTTGGAAGAATATACACAAGATATTAATAAGAATAAAGATCTCTAGGAGAAAAATTATTTCCAAGTTTCCTCTAAGGGATATGTATTGCTTCTACAATAATTTTATAATTAAAAAAAAAAAACCAGTGCCTTTAGAATACACATCAGATCCTCTGGCCTTCAACATCTTAGTCTTAATTCCTTTGTCAATCTCATTTCCCATAAGTCTGTCCACTCAACATCTACTATATGGTTTTGGTTGTTATATAAGCCCTCTGAATTTCTTTTTTTTTTGAGAGGGGTTCTCTTTCTGTCACCCAGGATGGAGTGCAATGGCATGATCTTGGCTCACTGCAACTTCCACCTCCTGGGTTTAAGCAATTCTCCCACCTCAGCCTCTCAAGTAGCTGGGATTACAGGTGCCCACCACTATTCCCAGCTAATTTTTGTATTTTTTAGTAGAGATGGGGTTTCACCATGTTGGCCAGGCTGGTCTTGAACTCCTGACCTCAAGCGATCCGCCTGCCTTGGTCTCTCAAAGTGCTGGGATTACAGGGGTGAGCCACCAAGACTGGCCGAATTTCTTAATGTTACATATATCATGGAATGTTCTCACTTTATCTTCTCATGGCCAAATCCCATATAACCTTTGCAGAGGCTCGTCAGGAAGTAATCTTCCCCGTCTCTGAACTCACATATTCCTTCATCTCTGTCCTCTCACAGGATCTATCCCTTTCTTCCTCATATGACCAGACTCACTGACTGTTGAGGGCACAGTCCATACGTAAGTCATTTCTGTATTTCTCTTGCATGACAGCACCTTTCATAGTCTCTTGAATATAGAAGGCCCCATATCAGTACTCATGGGGTGAACTGACAAATGCATGCACTCCTTCTCTAGGTTATAAATTCCCTGAGGGCAGGGAATCTTATTCTTCTACAACATCAGTATTCACATCACGGCACTGTTCTCCTGAACATGAACACAGCTATGAAGAGCTTAAAGGGAATCAACGTCCGAGTTCTCAACTGTCACGTGTGGTCATTCCACTGACTGAGAATGCAGGCTTGGGGTGGAAGCGTCCTGATACTCCTGACCCTTCTCTCCTTTCCTAATCACCTTCTCCCATTTCACTAAACAGACAGACAGATGAACAAATAAATACAATGTTTCTCTCACCTATCCTGATTGTTTTGTTTCATTGCCTTAAGATGTAAAAGTCTCATGGGTACCAAAGAGAAGGATAGTTTGAATTTTTTCATGCGATCCCATCACTTTTTCCAACCCCTCACTTATACTCTCATGAGAGCAGGGGCTTCTAATTTCACTCACAGGAAAAATTCATGGCCAGGCTCTGTGTTCTATCTAATCATCTACTATTGTATCTTTTTCTCTATTCTGCAATTAGAAGACAACAGGGAGATGGTTGTCATGGAATGCTTATTAACTCATTTCTTTAAATTGAAAAGTGAAATCATACATTTCAGGCAGAAGGGGAGTCTGACTTGACTGGTGGCTTTGACAAGGAGGGCTCATTTGTCATTTAGTTTATATGGTGGACAGTTCTCATAAGTTCAGTGAGCTAAGTCTGAATCCCCAAATGTTGACAAGAATGTACTTGAAGTATGTGATAAAATTTAAAAAATTATTGTGTTAGCAAAGGACTTCTGAAATTAAACTTTACTTTCTTTTTTTTTAAAACAAATCTTTCTTAGTACAGTGTGTATAAAATATTAGCATGTTTAGTACAAGATGCCTCCAAGTGAAAGTGTAACTGACTGTAGTCATTTGAATTGTCTTGGTAAAGCTCTTAAGTATCCTTTCCAGAGACTGAGAAAGATGTATTTAGTATCTGGCTAAAGATAAAATATCCTTTGCAAGTCATGTTTCTTAAAAAATATTTTGTTTCCCACAAAATTGAAGGATACCCCAAACAAGTTTTTAGCTAATTATGGAAATGTTTGATCATAGGTCACTTTGTGATATCTGACATGTAATTTAGGGGAAGTTCATGGAATTGAGTGACAGTGCTGTAACAAGACTTCCATTCTGATCAACTTATTTATGTCAACAAAATTTTTCAGCATTTACAACTACAAAAGCAAAAATTGAGAATGGACTTAATGCCAGACAATACACAATTCTAGCAATAATAAAAGCATTCATAAAATTTAATAGTTTTTTTGAGATGGAGTCTCGCTCTGTCACTCAGGCTGAAGTTCAGTAGCATGATCTCTGCTCACTGTAACCTCTGCCTCCCAGGTTCAAGCGATTCTCCTGCTTTGGCCTCCTGTGTAGCTGGAACTATAGGTGTGCACCACCACACCCAACTAATTTTTGTATTTTTTAGTAGAGATGGGGTTTCACCATGTTGGCCAGGTTGGTCTTGAAATCCTGACCTCAGGTGATCTACCTGCCTCAGCCTCCCAAAGTGCTGGGATTACAAGCATAAGCCACCATGCCCAGCCTAACTTTTATTTTTAATAATTATGTATCAAGATATGTGATCTAATAATGTTAATGATAATAAAATGCAGAAAAACAATTTAATGTTTAGATCCTGATGGCTAGGCGAAATGATAAATATATGAATTTTGATTTATGTACCTATTTTAGGGGGAAGAGATGAATAATTAGGTATAATGGAAATAGTAGTTCAAGAAGAAAAATGCATAATGTAAAATTACTGACTCTGAAACAGCTTGTTAATATTTGTAAATTGATAATGGTAGATAGCAAATTGCTCTGGTATTTATATTCAATTCGATGTATTTCAAAGAGTGTTATAATAGTTTTATTTTAAAATGTCAATAGTTACAATCTACCAGAAATTAAACTGTTGCAACAATTTGAATTTGTGATTAAAAACTTAGAAGTCAAGCTTAAAAATGTGTGATGGTGTACCTAAGTTTTCAAAATTTTCTGGGGTACATATACATAGATAGCTTGAAAATAATTGCCTTAAAAGACACTTAATTGGTGTCTTTGAAACAGATTAAATATAAAGTAATAATTAACAGAAGGTATGAACCAGTGATGTTAATTTTTCAAAATCCTGTACAGATGGAGCATAATTCTTGGCTAATTTCCACTCAATTAAGAATCTGGTCCACTGGTCATGGTGAAGAGAACAAAAGTGATGGCCTAGCTTTCACCTCCTGCATGGTCCATGTGTGTCTCTGGGTTAAATTTAAAAATACAGGCTGGGTGCGGTGGCTCATGCCTGTATTCCCTGCACTTTGGGAGGCTGAGGCCGGTGGATCACCTGAGATCAGGAGTTTGAGACCAGCCGGGCCAACATGATGAAGTCCTGTCTGCTGGGTGTGGTGGTACATGCCTGTAGTCCCAGCTACTCAGGAGGCTGAGGCAGAAGAATCACTTGAACCCAGGAGGCAGAGGTTGCAGTGAACAGAGATCACACCACTGCCCTCCAGCCTTGGTGAGAAGAGCAAAACTCCATCTCAAAATAATAATAATAATAATAATAATAATAATAATAAAATAAAAAAATAAATTCCTCTGAAAATTTATCCTCACTAACTACAGGTAACAAACTTTGGCTAATTAATCACCATATGGGAAGTTTACATTGACTTTAAAATTTTTTCAAACATGGTATCGAGAACAAAGTAAATGAGGGTTGTGCCCTAAGAGAAAGGCTTTGCTGTGGGATATTGGACAACGAAGTCTTGCTCACTGTGGCTCACAGTCCCAACCTTCTTCAGTTGTCAATATCTGACTTAACTCTTTGTAGAGAAGGACACAGCATCTTATTCCAGACAGAAGGTGCTCTGGTCATGGCATTCGCCATACAAGCTGCAGTAACAAATTCTGCTGACCAGGGCACATAGCTATGTCTGGGGGAAAAAATAAGATTGAGTCCACAGTAAACTTCTTTTAACATTTTCAGAAAACTGAGATGAATGTTTAAGTAAGGCTTTCTCATGAGCCAAGCTCATCTGATCCCATGCCCTTCCACTCTCTTGTTACTTCCTCCACGCCAGCCACACTCACCTGTCAGGGCTCCTCAAACACATGAGGTGCTTCCATCTCACTTGGTCTTTCTGCTGCTAAGTGATTTTCCCCCAGAGAGTCATGGGGCTCACTGCTTCATTGCATTCTAGTCTCTGCCCAAAAGTCACCTTCTCCAAGAGGGCTCTCTGACTACTGTGCCTAAAATCACACCCTCCCCATCACTCTATTGTAGTACTTAGCTGCTAATAATTATGTTGGGACAACAGCCTTAAACTGTCTCAGGCAAAGGGGGCATATGGCCATACTATTCATAGCACTTACTGTCACAGGATCCATAGGGTGTCACTTTTCCAGCCAGAAATCTCTGTGGCTGGTGGCGTCTTTGCCTGAGTTTTGCTTGGGCCCACGGGGCTCATTCTGCCCACTCAGCCTGGCAGGCTGTGCTGAGCTCATGCTACCAGCCCAGATCCCACGCCTACCAAGGGCAAGCCAGGCATGGAGCAGCAAGAGTTGTGTGAGCAGACAAGTGTGGGGTCCAGCCACAGTGCACAGCCAGGCACATCGGCTATTATGGAGGGGTGGGCAGCTCCAGGCATGTGCACAGGTGCCAGCTCAGATGCCAGCTCTGTGCAAGGCTGCAGCTGGATCAGATGTACCATAAGTGGCTTCTACCTGCATCTGGATGAGGGGAACATAGTGGTGCCTGGAAGCTTAGAGATGTCAGGAACTCCAGAGCCACAAAAAGGATGTCACAGCCCTGGCTTGGGGAGCCCCTAGGTCTGAGATCCTTGAAGGGCCACAGCTCTTCTCTCCTTCTCATCACCCACAATGCAGCAAGCAAGTGGCTTGTTTCACCCCTGTTTGTGTTATAGCTCTTTCAGTCCTGCCATTCAGTGGGTCCTGAGTTCTTGTCTTGCATCCAGGAAGAATGAGGTAGGTGGACAACTGGAGGGTGAGCAAAGTGGAGAGGAGCTTCATTGAGTGACAGAACAGCTCTCAGGAGACCCAAAGTGGGTAGTTCCTTGCTGCAGGCAGGTCATCCTGACGAGTGTGTGAGTCTGGCTGAGTCTGGGGTTTTTATGTGCTCAGAATGGAGGAAGTGTGTGCTGACTGGCCCACAGGCAGCCACAGTGGGCCTGGAAAATGCACCATCTGATTGGCTGAACAGTCATCAATGAAGTTCTCACTCTGGGCTGTAGCCTTTGCCCAGAACTGGCAGCCTGGCCCCCAGGCTTCACGCTGTTCCTGACCTGAAAGTGGGGTTTCACCAGAGACCCACCCCTTCCCGCCTAGGAATCTGTCTGCCTTTAACATGCCATTCACAGCACCCAGGCTGTCCATAAGGAGAGGCACCGGCAGGCATGCACTGAGCTGCTCTCAGCCTCCTTGCCCCCCACCCATGCTCAGTGATGCCCAAAGCCTAGAGGGGGCCAAGGTGGCAGGGTGTTGGTGTCAGTGCCATGCTGAGGACACGCACACCTGGCCAGGTTGCGACAGCCGCCAGGCTCAGCCACAACTTTGCTCTGCCCCAAGCAGGGACTGGGAACAGGGAGAGGACAGGGAGCTGGAGCAGGCATGTTCAAGCCTGCAGGGGCAGGGGGGTTCCTGGGCCCCTGAGAGTGCAGGAATGTCCAGGTCCAGAACCCTGGCTGGGCAGCTGTAGCTGTGTGCCAGGGAGCAAGGGGCTCCCATCCTGCCAACTCAGTAGGGGGTGGGGCTCCCACCTGTTCTTGGCACCTGCTGGCTAAGCAGAGTGGGCAGCCCTGGCAGTGCCTCCCCCACTGCAGCTGGCACCTCTGCAGCAGGTGCTCCAGATGGGCTGCTGCTGCCATCACTACCACCAGCTGACTTTGTTTTCCATAGAAGTTCCTTGAAGACATGAACTTTATTTTGTTCACTTAGAGCAGTGCCTGGCACATGGAGGGCCCTTAATAAATATTTATTGAATAATACTAAAATTAGCATTATATGCCAACAATTGTTCCATGTCTTGTAATATTCTTTAACAATATACATTTTAAAGGTTGTTAACACATGTTGACGAATTGCTTTCCAAAAAGTTTTTCTAGTCATTCAGCAACATTCTCTGGTCACTCTTAGAACATCGTTCAAATATTAGAATATATTAGTATCACTACTAATTTTATAGACAGTTCCAATGTGCATTTCTATGATGACTCAAAAGAATAAATAGGTTCTTTACATTTATTGGCTATTTGTATTTTTCCTGTGATTGTTATTATGTGCTTTGTAAAATAGGGGGTAAGGATTATAATTACACGATATGGTCTCCACACTCAAGACTTTAATTTAGCCAGTGAAAGAGTAAATTTTATAGGGAATAATAATTATGAAAAAGTTTAGGAATTGATTTTGTTGGGAAATAGTTAAGAAAAAATATTCAAAAGTTTAAAAAGAACAGAACTGGAAAGCTGCATAAAGTCCTAAAGCAGCAACATTTAGTTACTAAAACACATGGCTTTAAAAATATAACCATTGTTTCCTAATTGACTCTGCTATATCTGCATAGTGAATGGGAAAGGAGCAGAGATTTTGAAAGTGAAGCCCTTCCACTCCCACTCTTCATCAAAAGGGAATAGTACAGAAAGGAAGCAGCCATCACCTACTAGCTGCTATTGAAAATAATAGAATCAGTTAAAATTATACCAAATTGTAGCTATGTTAATTGAATTGCAATTAAAGTGATTATTGTGTGGTGTTATTTGGCAAAGGAACTCAGAAATAACTGTGTCCTGCCTTGCTATAGATACCTCTTGGGGTGAGCTTCCAAGGGCAAAAGAGTTGCAAGAGAAAGTCTGACCAAGCCGGTCATTGTCTCACATCTTTATTGCTTGGGCGCTAGCCTCCCTCTCCAACATAGGTCTTCAGGAAGTCAGCTGTTCTTGGAGCATTGTTCCTCTCTGAGCCAAGTGGCTCTTTCCTAACCCCAAACCTGGGTCTCTAATGTCAACACTCAGGTCGGTGGAAAGGTTGAATTAAAGTGGACTTCCCAAGATGAGAAGAAATAGAACATGAAGAAACGCAAGAGGGAGGGGATGGCAGGAGGAAGGTGCCTGCCCCAGTGCTGTGTCTCCTACTCCAGACTTTATCAAACCTGATCTAGGGCTGCCCTTGAGGCAGGAGAGAGTACAGAGTGGAAGAAAGAGAGAGCTAAAGATAAAGAGAGATGTTTGGGATTTTTCCAAGGGGAAATGGCTCAGGCCCTCATTACCATTCTGTACTCTGTGGAAGCAACAGAGACCAGAAAGGAAAAATCCACACTCCAGTGCTGCCACCTTCATCTGTTTGAAAATTATATCAATACACAGTGCTAAGGTTTGAATAATTCAGATCATAACTCTTTCCCATTGCGGGTAGGGTGTCTTGCTCTTGTTTTCTCCTTTGGAAGGAGTGATGAGGGGTGTGGAGAAAGGAGCAGAAATACTCAGTGAGCTTCTCTTGCAGGTCAACGCTCGCCATTCTGATCAGAGATAGGATGGCACAGGAGGGACAGGGCAATCCATGGGAAGTTTTGCTCCTGCCTTAAACGAGGTGAGAATACTCACAGCAAAATTAGGTCTAAAGCTCAGAGAGATGCTCTTTGCTGCAAAGGGTAACACTTGAAATAGAGCCACCTGGGGATTTATTAGCCTGAAAATTTCAGGAACTTCAAAGGAAACAATATTAAATGGGAAAGCATCAATTCTCATCAGAATTCAGAAATTTAGGGAAATAAGAACTATATATCAGAATGGAGAGATATTTTACATACAGTTTTTTGTTCATTTGTTTCCCTTGGTCTAAAAGAAGATTTAACCTTAAACTGAACTTGAATTTTTAGAATCAGAAATTTAAAACCAAAATGAACATTTAGCCATGATCTCAATGCTGAAACATTACAGATGAGAAGGTTGACATGGTATCACTAAGCTAGACTAGAATCCAAGCTTCCAGCCTAATATGTGGAGTCTTTTTTCATGTTTCCAGGAAATGAATCGTGTGATCGGATCTTACAAGAGGACAAATTTTGTTTAAAACTGAATGATAAAGATTGGCCACAAAGAAAGCTGGACACATACAAATTTTAAAATCCAGTTTCTATGTCTATGAATACAAGAAGAAGTGCATCACCAAAGTAAACAAGATCACAATCTAGTGATAGCTTAAACAATCTGTGAATGTGTGATCCATACTGCTCTCAGAAAGGGAAGGATGGTTTTTCTGGTGCTGCTACTAATAGAAAAGCACATACAGCATGCATGTCTAAGGCAGTCTCATGTAATATAGTAGTACCTTGGCTGGGCACGGTGGCTTATGCCTGTAATTCCAGCATGTTGGGAGGCCAAAGCGGACGGATCATGAGGTCAGGAGTTCGAGACCAACCTGACCAACATGGGGAAACCCCATCTGTACTAAAAATACAAAAAAATCAACTGGGCGTGGTGGTGCGTGCCTGTAATCCCAACTACTTGGAAGGCTGAGGCAGGAGAACTGCTTGAACCCGGGAGGCAGAGGTGGCAGTGAGCCGAGATTGTGCCACTGTACTCCAGCATGGGCAACAGAGCAAGACTCCATCTCAGAAAAAAAAAAAAAAAAAAAGAAAGAAAAAACATATATAGTAGCACTTTCTATTTACCAGGCACCATCAGAGGCATTTTACATGTTTCATTGCATTTTATCCTCCTAACAATCCAATGAGCTAAGTGTTGTTATTATCAATATTTTGCAGATGAGGAAACTAAATGACAGAGAGGTTGAGTCACTTGCTCAAAGTCACATGGTGTATTAGTGGTGGAACCAGGATAAACCACATGAATAGTGCTGAGAGTAACTGCTTTTATTAAACTGTGAAAGAGGGAGCAACTGCCACTTCCTAGAGTAGAATCTTACTCCAAACACACCACGGGGACCCATTAGAACCTAGCAAATGTGATGTTTGAAGAGGATTAACAAAAGGATGTGTTCTGTTGCTATTTATTTAGGTATTCTGGATTTCATTTTTAATCAAAGTAGATCATCAGAAGGCTACCCAATTGAAATATATCTTTGCCACTGATGGACTTGTTTTTACAAACTTTTCAGATAATGGCCTTGCCTTTTCTTGGAGGGTATTTTAAAGCACAACCTCATCAATTTCATTCTTATATTTTATTTAGGAATTGTGTTGAGGCATTGTCTGGTACATTATTTACTACCTTGTACATGCAACTCAGTGTGGAAAAACTTACTTTAGAAATGTGTGCTGCAAGCTGGGAGTGGTGGCTCATTCCTGTAATCCCAGCACCTTGAGAGGCTGAAGTGGACAGATCGCTTGAGGTCAGGAGTTCGAGATCAGCCTGGCCAACATGGCGAAACCCCATCCCTACTGAAAACACAAAAAATTAGCCGGCTGTGGTGGTGGGCACCTGCAGTCCCAGCTACTTGGGAGGCTGAGGCAGGAGAATCACTTGAACCAGGGAGGCGGAGGTCGCAGCAAGCCAAGATTGCATCATTGCACTCCAGACTGGGTGACAGAGTAAGACTGACAAAAAAAAAAAAAAAGAAAGAAAAGAAAAGAAAAGAGTGCTGGAAAAGCCTTACTTCTCCTGTGATAAGTGTTTGATATCTGAGACTGCTGTCTTTTTCATTTTGTACACCAGGAAGCTCAGAATCAAATTTTAAAATGACCTATTACAATTACATATAGCGATTATGGTGCAGGCATGTATTTTCACTTGCTTCTAGTTTTGACTTTTACATGTATTAATATTTACTTTTTTCTTTGACACAATTCTCTCTACTCCTCCTCTTTCCTTCCTCCTCCTGCTCCTCTTCTTCCTTTCTTTTCCTCCTTCTTCTTACCATTTGGGGGATATGTTATCGTGAACCAGCTTAAATCTTATGTAAAATCGTTATAGATATAAACTAACATCACTTAGTGTAGGGACAAAAATCAATATCTAAGAACACTTTGAATCAGAACCTTTTCATTCAACAACAGTAAACTATTAAAACTTGTATTAAATGTCTAATTACACAACATAATTGGAGAGAACCACTTAAATACAAATATTTGTGTTACGAAGAGCTTAAAAATAATTATTTAGATAATGAAGCTAATGCTTAGAAAGGCTAAATGGTGTCCCCAATGTCACTTAGCTAGTTAGAAGCAAGAACAGGATGAGGGATAAGAAATTACTTAATGGGTACCATGTACATTATTTGGGTGATGGCCACACTAAAAGTCCAGACTTCAACAACGTGTAATATATTCATATAACAAAACTGCACTGGTACCCTCTAAATCTATTTTTAAAAGTCCCCCCAACACAGAAATAAGAGAACAAATATTTACATACCTGGTATATAAAACTGAGTTGAATATTACGTTTTACATCTCTTTGAAGATACCAACAAATAGGTCTCTCTTTTTAAAAATATGTAAAGCGTATCAACAGTTAAAAATACCAGAAAGCAAAATATGATTACAGCCTAACCAGAAAGCCTAACAGCCTAACCAGTAACTCTAAAATAGCTTAGAGTTAGAGTGCAATGTGATCAAGCCTGTAATGGAAGTATGCACAGGGAACAACGGGAAGACAGGACGAACACCTACCTTAGCCAAGGATGGCTAGAGATAGCTTTGCAGAATGATGACGGTTGAATCGAGCCTTGAAGAAACAGTAGGAATTACTAGGTAGAGAAGGGTGGGAATGTTTGGGAGAACGAGGAAAATAAAACGAAAGAAATAGGCAGAGATTAGAACACAACAGTTCCTTTTCCTTAAGCCTATGAGGGTTCTGGACAATCTTCAGCAAGAAAGGGTGCATTTTTATTCTTTGGAATCATCTCTACAGAATGGACTGGAGAAGAGTTGGTAGTAGGAGTAGAAAAACTGGTTAGCTGGCTAGTGCAATAATTCAGATGAGAAGTAAGAAGTATCATTGAGGACAGAAAGAAAGAAATTATTTTTAAACCAACTATTATGAGCATTAAAAAATCTGCAGGACTTGGTGATTAAATCAGGTGGGTGGAGATGGAGAGGAATGAAGGTCAGTGAAAAATCAAGAATAACTCAGGCTAGTGGCTTGGGTGACTATGTAAATAGAAACACCATTTCACAAGACACGAGAAAAAGCAAAGCAGTGGTCTGGAAGGCGAGTCTACTGTTGAACATCATTATGAGCTATCATTAGACAACCTAGTGGAGTCCAGTTGGCTTTGTGTATGCGGCTCTGAATTGTTACAGAGCAGTCTAAGGGGCAAAAAGAGAATTGTAAATTTCTCCAAGATTGCTCTCAGTGATTTTTTTTTTAAAGTCATATATATTAGTTTACCAGAAAACAATGGGATTGTGATATATAACTTACATGTGGTATACAGGTGAAGTCAGTAGAATAAAATGAGATTGCACAGAGCAAAAGAAATCTGAAATACAAACTTCCCACGTTTAAATGTTGGGTAAAGAGGAGCCTGTATTAATCCATTCTCACATTGCTAAAAGAACTACCCAAGACTGGATAATTTATAAAGAAAAGAGATTTAATTGGTTTATGGTTCTGCAGGCTGTGCAGGAAGCATGGCTGGGGAGACCCCAGGAAATCAT
This sequence comes from Homo sapiens, assembly GCF_000001405.40. Lineage (NCBI taxonomy): Eukaryota > Metazoa > Chordata > Mammalia > Primates > Hominidae > Homo > Homo sapiens. Next base: position 155,941,017 of record NC_000006.12, on the reverse strand, counting down.
GGCGGAAGGCAAAGGGGAAGCAGGCACTTCCTACCCTGGCTGGAGACGGAGAAAGAAAGAGTAGGGGGGAGGTGGTACGCACTTTTAAATAACCAAATCTCGTGAGAACTCACTCACTATCATGAGAACAGCAAGGGAAAAATCCACCCTCAGGATCCAATCACCTCTCACCAGGCCCCTCCTGGGGTTACAATTCCACATGAGATTTGGATGGAACACAGATCCAAACCATATCAGAACCTCAAAGCAATTCAGAAGTAGTCAGACAGGCAGGATGAAAACCTGGAAGGCTTTATGTCAGAAAAGCCAAGAAAAATGTCAACTACTACAAAGTTTCAACCAAACAAAAGTCACATAATACAAAACAAAGGTAAACTGTAAAAATGTTTAAAGATGTAATAGACGCAGTGCGTTTGATACTGGCAGTTAGAAACTCACTGATAATAATATTGAGATCAATTTTACATAACATCTCACATAATTGAAGACCAAACGGGATATACTGTAGATACTCAATAACTGTACTAAACCAACGAAAGGATTTTCACTGCAGATTGGAGAAAAGTATTTTGGTTGCTTTATATGTATTCTGGGTATGAAAAAGGCATCAGCTCTTCCGTGACTAGCATATACCTGTAAATTCAAGATAGCAGTTGTGCATTTTATATATCAAGCAAAATCATTTAATCATTTAAGCCACGTGGGTTAACTTTTATAAAAGGTTTTTAAAAGTTCAGTTTAATACTTTTTTTCAGTCCAATTATTTTACATAGATTTAATCAATGAAATAAGGATTTAAACTGAGGAAGAAAGCATGACTCTTTGGAGGGCTGAATGAGAAATTGGGGATTGAATCACTTAGTGTGATTCTGGGTGTGTGGAAGATGCTTGAAAAATGACAGCCATCGATATCATTACAACATCTCTGGAATCAAAATGTTCTCTATTTAAAGGCAAGTTGTAGAAACTAATGGTTTCTGCATGGTGTGCCTACATGAAATTATTTGGGAATTAATTTAAAGGAATTAATTTTTTCTTTTGAAAATATATTGATAGTAACACTTGTGCGAATGGTCATAAAGTTGAATTATTACCATAATAGTGTTCTGTTTTTTTGAAATTCTGCTATTGTGGAGACACTGTCAAAATTATCCTCTTAGGCATTTCATCTTATGATAAATATTGCATTCCCCAACCTCGGTTGCACATACATAACTATCCTTGGAAGGACAAAAGTAGAATGAAGAAAGAGGAGAGAGAGTTGGGAATCACTGCAAATTCTTATGTCAGCAAGCATTCCGGGTATTTTTTAGCAGCTTGTTTTGGTCTATTGCTTGCCAAAGCACTATGAAAAAAATATGTAATTGTATTTCACAAATAATTGATATAAACATTTAAAGAGTGAATCACAATCATACCTTGTTTTATCTTTTTCTTTCTGCTTTCAAGCCTCTCTCTTTTTACAGTAGCTGCATGTTTGTTCTAGGCTGAGTGCCAGTTGTATCAATTAAACAGTAACTAATTCAAGTACATTTGCAATCTGTGTTTGAAATGCCAGCCCATACAGTAGTTACCAATTAAGCATGAGGCAGATTAATGGATGCATTGTTCTCCTGGGCTAACTTCACCACATTGTCATTAAGCATGTAAGCCCCACTGAACCAAAGACTTCCATTTAAAGGGAAAGGAAAACACATGCTTACCAAAAAAAAAAAAAAAAGTTGGGTGTTTTATGTCAAGCAGAATTATTTAACAGGAAAGGTGGTGGGTAACCTTTTGAAGGGAGAAGAAATTATGGCTGTTTAGTGTCTTTCTCAATCCCTTTATTTTGTGTAGATTTGATCAATGGAGAAATATAAAGGTACAAAATGGGGAGGAAAATAATGGGAACAGATCAGACAGACAAATGGCTCCTGTAAGTTCACAGTTCTTAAAACAGATGTTCTTTTCAGCTGGCTATAGTATATCATTATCTCCAGGAACACTGAAGATCAAGTACAAAGATTCACTAGGGACAGTGGAAATACAGCATAGTTACTGTGCAAGACACTTGGCTCTGTACCCCCTTTCCCTGCCCCACTTACCACTCTCAATTTAAGGAAACAAATATTTTAGGTAACGGTTTGGTCCATTTTAAATGTACAGGTTTGTGGTTCTTAGAACCAAGTGTAATCTTGGCAAAATAACACTGTTTTCGGCACTCACCAAACATTTAATGATTGTCGTAGTTCATATCAGAACAAATGGAAAGAGACTGTGAATTTAAAAGGTAGCAATTTCATTTTAATTCTCCAGCACGTGTGAGTGTCTGTGGAAATGTCTCTTCTTTTTGTTTTTTTTTTCTGTTTTGCTTTGGCCACTTATAATAAGTTAAATGCCTAAAAAGGTACTTAATTCTTTCTTATTAAAGAAAATAAATACTTTTTGTATTTTACGTGCCATTTTTTTTTTCACCGGGCATGGTGTGGTTAAATAAATGGCTAACCAATTTCCCCCAATTTCTAGAATATTTAAGAATTACACAGCCAATGGTATCAGTTTGATATGTAACAGTTAAATATGACCTACAGAGCACAACTGTTTTTTAAATGCAGCCACTCAGCAAACTGATTTATTTTTGTTTTCTATCACCCCTTAGAATGCTCTGTTGCAGTCCAGAACCATGCACACAATGCTAACTGCACATCTTCACGAGGCTGTATAACCATAGCTCATAAACATGCTCACCACCTTCCCTCCAATCCCACTTTGTGCCTTTTCCCCTCTTTTAGCAAATGGCTGTGCATCTGCCCTTCGTAGAGGGCCCAGCAAGACACCGCTCACTACTCTGCATTGAACAGGAAAAGCAGGTGGAAGCAGAATTTGCTGAATTCTTGGGGAAGGTTGTTGCTGTGTGATTTATCTCTTTAGATACACTGCAATGTCTCTGAATTCAGAAGGGGTGTGTATGTGTGTGTGTGTGTGTGTGTATGTCTATGTATCTGTCTCTATCTCTTTAGTGTGAAAATAGAAAGTAAGCCCTTGTTGGTATAGCTGTCTTTAACTAACTTTAATCATTGTGGAGACTTTCCAATTTAGCTGTCATTTCTGCTTTCAGTGCATTTAAGATAATTTAGGTTTCCCAGATAACTGGAGTATGTGGCTTTCCTACTAACGCGTGTATGGGAAGGGCTCTTGCTTCCTGTTCCCCACTCCTTCTTTTGGCTCTTCCTTTTCCAACCTTCTTCCACCCATCCTCCCGCTTTCCCATTATTGGCTCATTGGTGGAGGAACAGAAATGTTGAAATCAATATGAGAATAAATTGCCACATGGTCTTTATTGTAGAGGCAAGGTTTCTACAGAAAATCCTTGTAATCAGAAAAGAGGGAGGATGAGATTAAACTGATTAAACTGAGAAAGTCAAAAAAGGACAACTTGAAAGATTAGCTCTACAACGCCAGGAAAGCATAACCTTCCGTGCATGCTAAGTAGAGCTGTCCTCTCCACTATCAGCCCCTTCATCGGGTGACCTTCTGCTGCATTAGCACAGAGCTACTTGATCCAAGGCAAATACTGGAAATTGAAAAGCCAGAATGCCAGTGATTACAGCAGGTATCAATACTATTGTAATGATGCTTTGCTATCATGAGGGAACTTAATTACTTAGGGAGAGTGAGAAGGCCAGAAGGGAAAGCGCCAAGTCACAGCTCTAGTCAGCATCCAGGTCAGGGCTGATAGTTAAAAACTGCCTTAAATTCAGATTCAACAGGAGTCAAAGAATGAGAGAAAGAAGGAAGGTTAGGTTTTCAGGAGACTGCCTTGGGCATGCATAGCAAATGGCCACTGAAATGCAAGAGTGGGTCATGAGCTTCCAAAATGCCTTCTGCATCATCTGGCACATAGTAGGTGCTTCATAAATATTGAGTGATTGGAAGGATAAATCATTAAATATACAAAAATCCATCAATTAAAATTATTTCAGTGGCATGCTAAAAACGATGACTTCCATTAACAATAAAGATGTAAATTATTACATTGGGGATATTGGTCTTAACCAACTCAACTCCTTTTTCATGCGAAGCTAATCTTAGATCTCAACCTCCTTAAGGGGCCTTTCAGACCAAATCTCTGTCTCTCCCTCCCTCCTCCTTCTCTCTCTATTTTTCCATAGAGGTTTATAGTTCTTAGCCTGGTTGCTGTGACGTTATCACCCTGAAATGCAGAGTTCAAGCTGGGCACATGTTTTCTTTTAACTCTGACCCCTAAATAGAAATGCAGAGCATTTCTGAACACTCTGGGGCTGCGGTTGTGCTGATCCAAGCCAGAATTAGCCCCATTTATGAAACTACAAATAGACATGACCCAGCCCGACCTGCTTCCGTCAGAGTGCTGTGCGAAATTCATATTTCCAAATTTATTGAATCAAATTTATTTATTTTTGAGTAGGCACAAAAGCCAAAGTAAACTTCAAATTGCATTTGAATGAACTCTTACATTCAGTCGGTCATACCATCAAAGCCAGTTTTTTTTTTGGCCCAAAGATGGGAAAAAAAGAATTCAAAGAACCTGAAAAAAGAAAATGTATTTGGAGAAGGGAATGTGAAAAAACTAAGGTCGGAATGGAGCATTCTGAAAGCTCTGTAAACACTTGTAGATTAATTTTGAAGTCAGTAATGTTGCAGGGGGCGGGGACTACCTTCCTTCTGCCACTTACTCATAGTTATACTTTGGAGCATAACAGCCTTGGGGTAAGGAAGTAAACAATAATAGAAGGCATGATGAGTTTATCCACTATGGTCTCTTACAGAAAAGCAGGTAAACAATTCTAATTAAAACCTTCTTTGAGGACTGGTGTGGTGGCTTATACCTGTAACAGCGCTTTGGGAGGCCGAGGCCAGCGGATCACCTGAGGTCAGGAGTTTGAGACCAGGCTGGCCAACATGGTGAAACCCCGTCTCGACTAAAAATACAAAAATTAACTTGGTGTGGTGGTGCATGCTTGTAGTCCCAGCTGTTCAGGAGGCTGAGGTGGGAGAATTGCTTGAACTCGGGAGGCAGAGGTTGCAGTGAGCTTTGATAGTGCAGCCGCCGCACTCCAACCTGTGTGATAGAGCAGGACTCTGTCAAAAAAAAAAAAAAAAAAAAAAAAAAGCAAAACCCTTCTTTGCATAAGTGGTGGGAAGTATAGATTGTGGGTATTTTCCATGCTATCTGAGATGAATGCTTTCAGAACTCACAGCCTAAATCTAACTGCAGGATTTCTTATGGTATTCCTGCCAGTTCCCTATCCATACTGGGGAGGCTCAGGCGTCTCTGGGCCTGGGAGTTGAGGCTAACTTTACCTGGGACATTGGGGAGACAAGGAAGATCTTGCTTAAGGCCAAGTTTTTGCCTCTCTGTATCCCCGTTTCTTGTTTTAGGATTTAGTTATTCCAGTGTTGATTAACTAGGTGCGTTTCTTCCCCTCAAAGGTAAACACCATCCTCTAAAGGCCCTAGAACCAAGAATTCAATCCCATTTGTTTGAGCATATATTTTAAAGAGCCCCAGATATGAATATTCTAGTGTTGCCTATGTTAGATCTGTGGTTCTCCACCTTGGGTGCACATTAGAGTCACTTGAGAAGATTTTCATAAACACTGCCTCACTCACCCATATTGTGATTTAGTTGGTTTGGAACAAGGTTCGAGTTTTCTTTTTCTTGACTATAGTAAATCCTAGGGTGATATGATCAGTGGGTTCTTGCTTCCTGATTCTTCCACGTTGTTAACCAGCTTTTTCCATTTCAGTTTCTGATAGTATCATGTCTAGAGGAGCAATGTTTCTCCTTCCTTTTGCTATCTCACTATCTATAGTCTATGCTTAATCCCAGCTGCACATCAAAATACCTGGTGAGCTTTCAAAATATATGTGTACCTGAGTCCACCCCAAGATACTTAATTGGTTTTAAGATCAGATTATAATGAAGCTGAAAGTTTTCACTTTTCAGAGAGGTTGTAGCTGTCCTAATGTAGCCATAACTCATCTCTACAGAGTTGTAAACAGGTCAAAGACAGTGAAAGGTACAGACCCCACAGACGGAGACAACCCAAGAGTCTACTGGACAACATAGAGCATTCTTCAAAGCACATGAAGACATCTTTTAATCTAATGTTTTACACAGAGCTAAAGTAATCCACAGGACAATTGTCCCTTGAACAACATGAAGGTTAGGGGTGCTGATCCCCACACAGCCAAAATCCACATATAAATTTTGAGTCCCCCAAAACATAATTACTGGTAGGCTATTGTTGACTGGAAACATTATTGATATCATAAAGTTGATTAGCACATAAACAGACTAGTATTTACACACATTTTATGCATTCATGATGTGCCTTTTCCTTATTTTTTTCAATATTTCGTGACTATGTGGTTCATTTGCTAGGTTTTTTCAAATTGTCACAAATCTCCAAAAATTGTCCAATATATCTATCGAAAAAAATCTGCATTTAAGTGGACCTGCAAAGTTCAAACCCATGTTGTTCAAGAGTCAACTGCGTATTAATGTATTAGAGTCACCATTATGATAACACTACATTCTACACAGAGAAACATTTAGTGACTAAAACTTTGGCTCTTAGAGTTTCTGAAGTATTTTGAAAAAGAGCCTTTGTGACTTTCTGTCTTTCGGTGGATCATCAACACAAAATATATACAGTATGTGTGTAATACCGTGTTTTGAGGTACTTATTTATTGCTTTCAATATTTCCCCCACAGTAATTTGTTGTGATATGTCTTTGCAGAACTAATAATGTCCTATAAAGCATTTCTCTTGAGGACTTCTAATTAGTACTATTAACTGAACACTCCTAATAATGTCTGTAGATTCATCCATCTGCAATAAAGCCATTTTGCTTTTATGATTTTCTAGATCACTGTGGTCCCAAGTTATATAACATGTTGACAACGAACCTACCGACAGTAATTCGGTAGCAGCACCTTTTCAGTTTCCTATGCTTCACTGGGCCAAAGCATAGTGTCAATAATTTCCATACAGGCTGGAAAAGCAAGTGACTAAAATTGTGTGAAACATTTTGTGATCTTTAGCTAATAATTGAACAATCTTGCAACTAGTTCCTCATCAAAGTGCCTTTTTCTCATTTGCGAGCATGAAGACACTTGTAGAAGTCTGATCCTTTAGTGTGTGTGTAAGAGGAATTTTTTCTAGCACAATGCTGGTGGCACTTGTCACCATTGCTTCATTTCATAATTGTTCTATGTATTTAAGTCATTTTGGCTGAAGAAGAAAAGAATTAATGGGAAACAGGACTCCAAATGTGAGTGTATAGCTTCCATTTTTTGCCCACGGATGGGCTTGTCTTGTGAATCTGAGACTTTACAACTTTAATAAAAAAGTTACCTGTCATGATAGAAAGAAAATAAATCAATTTAAACATAAATCACTGAAAGGAAACCTAGGCTTTTACAAAGTCAGGAAATTGAAATTTCAGAATATTTATTTTGTGTCATCTGCATTGCTAAGAATACTTTAAAAACAACTTTCCTTAACAAATTTCCTAAAAAAGACATGCTAACTAATACTCAGAGAAACATTAGTATAAAATTTCAGTTCTGAATTTGTACATGCCTATAATCACTTTTATTCTATCATCGCAAATAAATGTGTTCAATTATTGTTGAACACAATTATTGTTTTCTAAAGTAATCATTTTTTTCATCAAACCAAATTTCAAAATTAGTATGAATTTCTACATGGAATCAGACTTTGACTCATTGTTAGCATCAGAAGTCATAAAGAAATAAATCTATGCTTTTCTACCCCATTCTCCTCTTACTGTCCTCTAGGAATCTGATAAGACCTTTTCATATCAAGCCCGCAAACTTACTCATTTCCCTTTCATATTTTATTTTTAATTTAAATTATCATTATTTTACTTCTAGAAGATGGATCTTTCTATAGTCTCTTACTGATACTCATCTTTTCAGTTTCATTTCTTCAAATATACTAAACATTCATTTTATGTTCTGTGTCTGATAATTCTATTATCTTATTTTTTGTGTGTTTTACTCTGATGTCTGCTGTTTTGGCTGATTTTTTCTTATAATCCTTTATTTTGTGTAGTAGTATGTTTGCTTTTGTTTTTGTTCCTTATTTTTATTTATTACTTTGTGCCTGGACTTCTTGGACCTTTAAAAATGTAATTTCTTAGAGATCTGTGCTGAAGTGAGATCCTCCAAAATGACTTGTAGTTCTTGCTAGACTCTCTGAGAATCCTACTAGCCTGGAATCACTTTATGCCAAATTCTTAGCTTGAGGGTTTCATTCAGATCATTCAAGTATTATGAATTCAGGTTACACATTCCCACAAGGGCTAGCTGTTTACAGATTCTCAGGGCAGATATTTCTTCCCCTTGATTCTAAATGTCAATGTTTGAGGCAATTTCCCTGACAGTGAGGTCAGCTTATTTCTAATTTATATTTGCACTAAGGATGTAGACTTTTGGAGACCTGGATTTATGGAGGGAGATGCCTAGCAGACTCCTCGTTTTGTGTAGACCCTGGAATTTATCTCTCTCCTAAGTCCGGAAGGACCATATACAAAGTTCAATTTGACCTCCTTCAACAAATGCCCTAAAACGAAAACTGGATTTGGCATTCCACTTACTTTCCCGGGTTCTTGCTGTCATTTGATATATTAGTTAGGGTTCTCCAGAGAAACAAAACCTATAGGATGTGTATAGAGAGAGAGTGGGATTTGTTTTAAAAGATTGGCTCACATGACTGTGGAGGCTTGTCAAGTCCAAAATCCTCCCATTAAAATTGTAGGCTGGAGCTCCAGGAAACAGTTGCAGTTTGAGTTCAAAGGCAGTCCACTGTCATGACTGCCTCTTCTGAGACAGGTCAGTCTATTTCTATAAAGGCCTTCAAAACGGATTGGATGAGGCCCACCCACAGTATGTAGGGTAATCTGCTTTACTTAAAAATATCTTCAAAGAATCATCTAGAATAATGTTTCACCAAATACCAGGGTACTGTGGCCTAGCCAAGTTGACACATAAAATTAACCATCACACTTGATTTTTCAGGTTTTTTCTTTGGATATCATTTGCTTTCCAGTTCTTCATTACATTAAAAAACTATATTTTTAAAAATAAGTCATCTAGCATTGTTCTTTTGATGTATAATTTACATAAAAGAGTACATAGAATTAAAAGGCTTTGTTTGGTTAGTTTTGACAAATGTATACACTTATGTAACCTTCACACAAAACAAAATGTATAACTTCTCTGAATGTAAAACATTTCTAAATATAAAGCAAGCTGTCATTTGCCTTTTTCCCGTCTAAAATCCACCCAACACCCAGAGTCAAACATTTCTGATTTCCCATCCCCATAGATTAATATTATCTATTTTTGCATTGAAAGTAAATAACATCAGAATGCCTTTGTTCTGTGAGATTGAGTCATATTGTTTAGGTAAGAGTAGTTTATTGCTTTCATTGTTTAGGAGAATTTTATTCTATGGATAAATCATAAATTATGTATAAGTTTTATTATTGATGGATATTTAGATTGTTTCCAGATTTTGGCTATTATTAAATAATCTGCTATAAATACTCTTATACAGTATTTCTTGTGAACATATGGTTTTATTCCCTATGATTAATACCTGAGAGTGGAACTGCTGTCTTATGGGGTAAACATATGTTTAACTTAATAAAAAAACTTCCAATCATTCTCCAAAGCATTATACCATTGAACATAACCATGAACCATATAACAAAATTCCAGTTGCTCCACATCCTCAACATATACAAAAGTTAATTGTATTCCATTATACTAGCAAAAATAAAAGGGAAAATAAAATTTAATATTAAATAATAATATCATTTATAACAGCATAAAACACAAATTACCTAGGAATAAATCCAATTAAAGATTTGTAAACAACTACAATGAAAACTATGGAGTATTTATTAGAGAAATGACAGACCTAAATAAATAAAGAACAATACTATATTATTCATGGGTTAGAAGTAACGTTAACCTGGAGATGGTTCAGAATGGCTCATGGGACTTGGCTGTGCACATTTATTCCTGACTCAACATTCAACGACATAATGTTTATACCTTAATATCAACAATGATGGGAACATTCACAATATAGAAATGATTAAATACTGTGAATTGGTACCATCCTCCCTCCCAGAGAACCCATTATTAAATATTTACCAGCATACCTCTGGTTGGAAGATGAAATATTTTTAAGATAACTGTCCTCCACAGATTGCTATAGATTGAACACAGTTTTTAAAAATCAAAGCCCATCAGTACTTTTCAAATAAATTGAAAAATTAATTATAACATATATATGAAAATTCAAAGGATTTGAAATAACCAAATATTCTTTAAAAGGAGGAATAATATTGAAGAACTCACATTTATTGGCTTCAAGGGTTACTATTCATAGCAGTTCTATTTCTATAAGGAGGGTATTAATGTCTGCTTTTTCCTGTTTTTAGTGATTTGAGTTTTATCTCTTTTTTTCTTGTCAATCTAGCTAAGGATTTGTTAACTTTGTTAATCTTTTCAAAGAACCAGCTTTTGGTTCTATTTATTTTCTCTATTTTTTCTATTCTTTACTTTGATTTTTAGATCCATCATAGAATTTAGGTTGCAAGGAGAATTGTTGCTCCCCAGATCTGAGAGACAGAGATATACAGAGAATCACAGATTACAGAAACAGAAGCCCATTGCTGAAGCCAGTACCATCCCTAGACATCATTCATTTATCTTTCAACAAAAAGTTACATGGCATATTAAAAGATAAAAAAATGTAGCTCAAAGAAACAGGGTAAGCACCAGAATCGACTCAGATATGAAAGAGATTTTAGAAATATCAGACTGATATTTTAAAACCTCATAGAAAAGGTAGACAACATGCAATGAATGATAGGTAATTTAAGCATAGAAAAGGATAGTCTATGGAAGAAACAAATAGAAATGTTAGATATCAAACACACTGTAACATAATTGAAGAATGCCTCTGATGGGCTCATGAGTAGACTGGACACAGGCAAATGAATGAATTAGTGAGCTTTAAGATATGTCAATAGAAACTTCCAAAACTGAAATGCAAAGAGAAAGAAAATAGAAAAGATAGAAAAAATATCCAATAACAATGGGACAATTATAAATGGTGGAATATACACATAATAGGAATGCCATAATGGGAGAAGAAAGGGAAAAAGGAACATAAGGCAAAATATTTAAAGTAATAATGACTGACAGTTTTAAAAAATTAGTGACAGGCACCAAACCACATATTTGAGAAGCTCAGATAACATTAGACAGATTAAATACCAAAAATTCTACCCTTAGATATATAATACTCAAACTACATAGAATTAAATACAAAAGAGAAAATCTTGAAAGAAGTCATAGTGAAAAAAAGGAAGTCCTTATCTGTAGAGAAGCAAGGATAAGAATTACATCAGACTTATCTTCAGAAACTATGCAAGTAAGAAGAAAGTAAAGTAAAAGATTTAACAAGTTGACAGAAAGAAATAGCCAACTAGAATTCTTTATCTAGTGAAATCATCCTTTAAAACTAGTGGAGAAATTGGCCAGGCATTGTGGCTCACCCCCGTAATTCCAACACTTTGGGAGTCCAAGGAGGGAAGATTGCTTGAGGCTGGGAGATCAAGAGCAGCCTGGGCAATATAGTGAGACTGTGTCACCACAGAAAAAAATAATAAAGAAATTATCTATTCATAGGGGCATACACTGTAGTCTCAGCTACTTGGGAGGCTGAGGTTGCGGGATCATTGAACCCAGGAGTTCAAGGCTGCGGTGAACCATGATTGTGTCACTGCAGTTCAGCTTGAGCAACAGAGCAAAGACCATGTTTCAAAAAAACAAAAACAAAACAAAACAAAACAAAACAAAAACAAAAACTACAAAAAACTAATGGAGAAATAAAAACTCTCCCAGACAAACACAATTGAGAGAACTTCAATATGGTTAACACTAACTTTTCAGCATAAACAATGGAGACCAGAAGGCAGTGAGAGAACATATTCAAATGCTCAAAGAAATAAAACTGTCAACCAAGAATTCTATGATGCAAAACTATTTTTAAAAAATAAAGGTGAAAAAAAGACTTTTCCAGATTTTTTTAAAGCTAGAATTCGTTGCTAGCAACCCCACCTTACAATAAATTCTATGAGAAGTTCTTCAGAGTGAAAGCAAATGATTCCAGATGGTAAACTGAATCCACATGAAAAAAACAATGAACACTAGTAATGTAACTGTGTAATAAAAGATAGTAGAAAATAGTACTTTTTCTTTTCTAGATCTATTTAAAAAGCAGTTGTATAAAATGTTACATAGACAAGGCCGGGCATGGTGGCTCATGCCTGTAATCCCAGCACTTTGGGAGGCCGAGGCGGTTGGATCACGAGGTCAGGAGATCGAGACCATCCTGGCTAGCATGGTGAAACACTGTCTCTACTAAAAAATACAAAAAATAAAAAAATTAGCCGGGCATGGTGGCGGATGCCTGTAGTCCCAGCTACTCAGGAGGCTGAGGCAGGAGAATGGCGTGAACCCGAGAGGCAGAGATTGCAGTGAGCCGAGATTGCACGACTGCACTCCAGCCTGGGCAACAGAGCAAGACTCCATCTCAAAAAAAAAAAAAATACGTAGACAATATAATAATTTGACCTCTATCATATAAAATGTAATATGTTTACTAATAACAGCATAAATCTATACCAAACACTAGGAATGAAATAATTAATATTAGAGCAGAAATTAATGAACTGCCATGATATTGGGGGCTAGAATCTTAACATTTGAATTTGGCAAAGTACACAAACATTCAGCCAGCAAGGAAATAAGACTTCCCAACTCAATTTCTGAGTTTAGTATTACCCTAAATCTAAAACCTGACAAAGACATTACAAAAAAAAAAAAAAAAAACTATAGACCAATATGTCTTATGAAATTGGATGCCAAAATTCTCAACAAAATGCTAGAAAGCCAAATCCACAAAAATAAAAAAATAATTATACACTGCAACCAAGTGGGATTTATTCCAAGAACGCAAGATTCAAGACCCCCAAATCAATGAACGGAATACATTGTACTAACTGAATAAAAAACAAAAATCACATGATCATCTCAATAGATGCAGAAAAAACATTTGCCAAAGTCCAACACCTTTCATCTTTAAAACACCTAACAAATTAAGAATGGAGGGGAACTCAACAACCTGATAAGGTCATCTACATAAAACACGCACCTAATATCATATTTCATGGTGAATGACTAGCTGTTTTCTTCATAAGATCAGGAAGAAGACAAAGATTTCCATTCTCACCACTTATATTCAGCAGTGCACTGGTGTATATAGCCAGGGCAATTAGGCAGGAAAAAGAAATAAAATGCATCCTGGTTGGAAAGGAAGAAGTAAAACTATCTCCACAAATGATATAATTTTTTATGTAGAAAATACTAAGGAATTCACTATAAAACTATTAGAGCTAATGTGTTCAACAAGGTTGCAGGATACAAGATAAATATATAAAAATCTTTTACATTTTTATGTACTTGCAATGAACAAGCTGAAAATAAAATTTAGAAAAAATTTTTCACAATTGCATCAAAAGGAATAAAATGTTTAGAAATAAATTTAACAAAAACTTGCAAAACTACACTCAAAACATTACTGAAAGAAATATAAAAATATCTAAATAAATGGAAAGGCATCTCATGTTCACAAATCAGAAAACTTGATACTGTTAAAATGGCAGTGCTCTACAAACTGATCTACAGATTCAATGTACTTCCTATTATATCCCAGCTGGCCTCTTTAGAAATTGACAGCTTATTCTAAAATTCACATGGGAATTGAAGGAACTGAGAATAGCCAAAACAATCCTGAATAAAAAGAGCAAAATATGAGAACTCATACTTTCTGATTTCAAAACTTACTATAAAGCAAAAATCAAGACAGTGTGTGATAATGGCACAAGGTTAGGCATATGGATCACCAGATTAGAATTGAGAGCCCAGAAATAAACCTGCACATCTATATTCAATTATCTTTGGACAAGAATGCCAAGACCGCTCAATCGGGGAAAATTTTTTTCAACAAGTGGTAATATGGATGGCAATATAAAAAAGAATGAATTTGGACCCATACCTCATGCCATATACAAAGATTGACTAAAAATACATAAAAAACCTAAGTGTAAGAACTAAACTATAAAGTTCTTAGAAGAAAAATTAGGAAGAATATTCATGACTTTGAATTCAGCCAAGGATTCTTAGATGCACCAAAATCATAAGCAAACAAAGGAAATTTTGAGAAATTAGTTATCTTCATAATTAAAAACTTTTGTGAATCAAAAGATATCATCAGAAAAGTAAAAGAAAACTCACAGAATGGAAGGAAATATTTGCAAATCATATATCTGATAAGAGATTTGTATAGATAATATATAATACATAAAGAACTCTTAAAACTCAGTAATAAAAAGACCAATAGCACAATTAAAAATTTGGCAAATGATCTGGATATACATTTCTCCAAGGAAGATTACAAATGGCAATAGGCACATGAAAAGATGTTCAATGTTATTTATCATTAGAGAAATGCAAATTGAAACCCCAGTGAGATGTAACTTCATATCCTTTATGATGACTAGAATAAAAAAGTCAGATAATAGTATATGTTGGTGAGGATTTAGAGAAATTGAAACCCTCACGCATTGCTGATGGGAATGCGTAAACTAATGCAGCTACTTTGGAAAACAGTTTGGCAGTTCCTCAAATAATTAGGTATAGAGTAATCATATGACCCAGAATTTCTAGCCATAGGCATATACCCAAGATAAATTAAAACATATTCACAGAAAAACTTTTACATAAATTTTTATAGCACAATTATTCATAATAGCTAAAAGATGGGAACAACCCAAATGCTCAAGAGATGAATGAGTTTAAAAAATGTGGTATATCCGTGCAATGAAATATTTTAGTGACAACAGCTGCAACCTTGATGAATTTTGAAAGCATGGAAGAAAGAAGCCAGTTATGAATGACCACATGTTATATGATTTCATTCATATGAAAGTCTAGAATTGGGAAGTTTATAGAGACAGAAAGTAAATTAGTGGTTGTTTATGTCTGGTAGAGGGTTGGGTAGAGGAATATGGGAATGATAGCTAAAGGATACAGGGACTCTTTTTGAGGTGTTTAAAAGTATTCTAAAATGGAATGTGGTGATAGTTACATATCTGTGATCATACTAAAAGCCATTGAATTGTATACTTTAAATAGATGAATTGTATGGTATGCATACAAATTATATCAATAAGGCACTTCAAAATATTTTTTAAGCCAGTCAAGTGTGGTTGTTGGGGGTACACAATGTTAAATCACCTTAACCATCATAGAAAGAATAAATTAGTCTTGCTGAGTGTGCAGGAGAGTTCCCCTTTCTCTGTTTTCTAAAGAGCTTTAAAAATCTTTTCTTCCTCTCTCCCGTCCGTTCTGATAGCCTTTGCCTTTTAATAAAACTAAATTTGATTTTTTGTATTTATTTATATTTTATTTTGTCCCACTTCCTTAGTTATTTTTCCTTTTCCTGACCTCTTTTAGTTCTCAACTGAGGTTTTTCTTTATTTTATTCTCACTTCTATAATTTTCCTCTCCCAAATAAGATGATATAGTCTTTATTTAAATTTAGCATATAGTTAAATTTAAAATCCTAAAATAAAACCATACAATATCCTGTTCTCTAAAAATGAACAGTTCTTAGGATGTTTATCTCTGGTCCTGCCCTCATGATGTCTATAAAATTATTTGACATTTTAATTATATCTTCTATCTGATATCTTAACCTCACACATTATTATTCAATATTACTATTTTTGTTTCATGGCATCAATGTTTAAGAGTTACAGGAATGTTTTCACTTACTTTACTGACAGTGCCATTTAGTATCTCCTGTATGCTCTCTGCTTTCATTTGGCTACTTCTTGAAGTATGTCTTTTTTAAAAAGTTTCTTTGGTAAAGGTGTTTTGGTGGTGAACTCTATTCTTGTTCATCTAAAAATGTATTTCATCCTTGTTCTTGAACATTTTTCTGAATATACAATTCTAGATCAATAGATGTCATCTATCTGCCCTTTGAAGATATTGATCTACCCTTGTCTCCCCAGGTTACTTTTGAGAAGTCACCTGTTTCTCAGTTTAGTTGTTGCACTTTTGAACATGATTAAAGAAAAAAATCTAGCTGCTTTCGATATCATCTCTTTGTCTATAGTAGTCTGCATTTTCACTATAAGCCATATAGAGATAGATGTTAATTTTTTATTTTCCTGCTTGAAATTCATTGAGTTTCCTGAAATTGAGGATTTGTCTTAAAATGATTCTTGAAAATTATTGGCTATTATATATTTGAATGTTGTCTCTCCCTTTCTGTTCTTTTAAGTTGTCTTTTTCTTTGGAATGACTATTAGCTGACTACTGTTGCATACCTTCCATTTCTTTGAGTCTATCCTGCATTCTGGATAATTTCTTCCTATATACACTCATGTGCCACATAATGATATTTCAGCCAGTGACTAACCACATATATGATGGTGGTCCCATAAGGCTATAATACCATATTTTTACTGTACCTTTTATCTGTTTAGATATGTTTAGATACATAAATGCTTCCCATTGTGTTAACAATTGCCTACAGTATTCATTACAGTAACATGCTGTGTAGGTTTGTAGCCTAGAAGCACTAGGCTATGCCATAGAGCCTAGGTGTGTAGTAGGCAATACCATCTAGGTTTGTGTTAGTACACTCTATGTCTTTCACACAATAGTGAAATCATCTAACAACACATTTCTCAGAATGTATCCTCATTGTTCAGCTAGGCATGAACAATGGATAATATAATTCACGTGTATAATAGAATTCACTCATTCCTCAGCTGTGTAGACTCTGCTATTAAGCCTTTCCATTGCTTTTGATTTTTTAATGATTATATATAATTTTATTCAAATAGTTTTATTTTAAAATGTCCCTATCAGTTTTCAGAACATCTATTCTATAACTACCATGATCACTATTAATATTCATACAGTAATTACCCCTAGCATCAGCACAATTCTCTACCCAATGGAGCACACATTCCCACTGAAACCCACAATCCCATTTATCACAACCCATGAGAACCTGCCTCTCAGCCTCTCTGTCTTTCCTGTAGTTCTTGGTTGAGCTGCCTGGAGAAAGCTGTATCTGGAAACATTCAGCCTTGAACAAAGGAGGGAATAGGCAAGGAGGATCTAAGTTAGAGACAAAGCTGCAGGACTTCTAGAGTCCTCTGGGAGAGGCCATGAACTTTCATAAATGCTTGAGTAGACACAAGGAAGAACTGATTGCTTCAGTCGGACAGACAGATAAATCTTGTATCATTGAAAGATCCATTTATGTATATATAATCCTTACAGGAGGTGAGGGCAGCAAAAACATATCCAAGCAATCTAACAGGATCTTCAAACCAAACCCTTATGTGGGCTTGTGTGTGGAGGCATCTGAAGACTGGGAGCTCAGAAGATTCCCCAGGATAAATCAGTTCTTTCATTCATCTATACCATACATTCTTTCTCTAAGTATCTTACTGATATTTTTTCAAGAGTGTTTCAGGATACCTCATCCATTGTATTTGGCAAATACCAAAGTTCTAAAAACTTTTTCAGGTATGATCCAACACCAATCCACGTGTCTTCTGAGTGACAGTGGGTAAAAGTCCAGCCTGCAAAGTAGTCTTGAAATACCTCTCATTCAGCTTCAAGTGAGAGGGAAGCAAATCCTACTTCTTCCCCACAGAGGTACAGAGAAAAAAATACCATTGAAGTCCAGCAACTTCTTCCCAAGAAATTCTCTCTGACTTCAACCCTTTAATAACCTGAGCGTAAAGATGGCATAACCAGTTTGAACTTCTGCTTATGGGAGCATAAGCATACTGGCCTTCTATATTATCTTGTTTGGGTTTTTGTTTGTTGATTGCATCTTTTGAATTATCAGCCAAAACTGATACAGAAACAGTCTCATTTTTAAAAACCTATGACATCCGAATGATTACATTTCAATCATATACCTCTAACTCTCAAAAAATTCATTCTATGCATACAAAAGCATGGAGTTTAAAGATAATGTATAAAAACATCATTTTTCTTCCTATATACAAGTCTATTTTTCTGAACCCCCTACTTTGGAGACCAGAGCGATAAAAAAAAATTATTTAACTTTATTTGTTACCAAAGCTATACAAAATTTGAAAAATTTAGAAACATGCCATGGCCTTTTAAAGTTATAATTCATAACAGGAATTAACTTTCTCCATTGAAATTCAAAAAATTGGACTATATAGAAAAATCTCTGTAGCAATAATGTAGCAGCAGCTAAATTTAGAATCTCACACAGGTGTACTTTCTAGTTATCTACCACCTCTTCAGCAGATTCTCAACAGAATTGTTACATATGATTGTTTTTATGGTTTGAGATTTTTTAAATGATACAGCATGGACTGGTAGACTCAAAGATTCTGCAATATTTTCTGCTGGTATATTTCTGAGCTGTGTTTCATGCATCAGAAGTTACATGGATTTAAAAAACTGAACTCCTATGATCATATATGGGAACTGCTGTCATGGCTGCCTAAAATCATAAGACCCTTTTTCTTAGAAAAGAATTGCAGCCCATAGGGAAATTGAAAAATATAGATTGTTCAGTAGTTCTTATTTAGCCAAGCTAGATGGTTATAGATATGATCAGAGCTGCTAATCTATAGGCCAGGAGAGATTATCAGTAATGGATCTGATCTGAAATATCCTATTTCAAGTAAGTACCTCTTTTGGAAAGGTAGATTTGAGGTTTAAAAGGAAAGCCCCGTGGATGCACCAGTGTCATGGGCTCCTCCCTTTATTTTTCATTTCTCTTTTTGAAGGGTAGCAGAGTAAAATGTCTCCAAATAAAACTGGTGAATGACCCAATGACCAATACTCCTCTTTCCTGATAGTTTTAAGTCATTTCCATT
Source organism: Homo sapiens (assembly GCF_000001405.40). Classification (NCBI taxonomy): domain Eukaryota; kingdom Metazoa; phylum Chordata; class Mammalia; order Primates; family Hominidae; genus Homo; species Homo sapiens. The sequence goes on along the minus strand of NC_000006.12, from coordinate 155,921,928 downwards.
TTATGTATAAAATTTTATTCTGGAAATCAATGTTCCCCCCTCCTTGGCACCTAAATTGACCTGAAAGTTCCAGCATGTGTCAGGTTTTCATTTAGTCTCAAAATAACTATTTTTTTCCATCTCTGGCAGGGATTAAGTGCCATGGTTTGGGCACTTGCTCTGTTGACATTAAATATGAGTTAAATGCTCATCAGTTCCAGCAGTGTATTTCCAATGGATTTAAGGAATTTTGAACACACACTACTATTAAATAATAATGAATTCCTTGCCATAAAGTGTTTGATGAATATTAGTGATAACTAGATGGATATTTATCACCTTCTGATAAAGATTATTACTCCCATGTTTTCAAATGGATAAAACTAGGCAGAGAATTCAGGGGATTTGCTGGAAGTAGCTTTCTAAGTCAGGGAGTAGCAGAAGCTCAACAGTGGCTGCTATGCTACAGTCATCTTTATCATTTTGTATATTGCTTCCTCCTCTCTCCCTTTTGTTAAAGAGAAAGAAATAGGTTTTTATTAAAGGAACACACCAAATTATATTCTCAAAATTTTCCAAGCATTTAAATATATGGGTTTAGATAGTGAGGATTGAAGTCTTTGAAATTAACCTAATTACTCTGGAAGAAAACAAATAGTTATGATCCAACTCAGATATAGACAGTGGACATTCAACTTTAAAGCCATGCGCCTTTGCATCTGCTTCTACATTTCTCCCTTTAGGGTAATTCGTGCAAAAAGGCAGGGAAAGTCATCATTATCATTACATTGTTTATGCCCTGATTCTTTTTGAGACAACTTCCTTCATCGCCACCCACCTCTTCACGGGTCATTTGAGGCATTTCCAAATTGGAGGAGGTGCATGCATTTTTCTATAGTAGGTGGTTCAGCTGAAGGGCGGGCTTGCCCACCCAACACAGCTCACTTTTTTATGCCTCTGCCAGGTACCAAGTGGGCATCTACACCTCTCTATGCAGAAAGTGCTTCATTCATGGGTCGAAGGCACATGAGCACCCTGGAAAAGCTCAGGAAAACCAAGCTCATGGCCATGGATTCAGCTGATCGTAAAAGAGATGCAGGACAATGAGACTGAATCAGAAAAAATCAGGAAAGAATTTAAATTGAAACTTAAACAGGCTGCGTGTGGTGGCTCATGCCTGTAATCTCAGCACTTTGGTAGTCCGAGGCGGGTGGATCACGAGGTCAGGAAATCGAGACCATCCTGGCTAACATGGTGAAACTCTCTCTCTACAAAAAATACAAACAATTAGCTGGGCGTGGTGGTGGGCACCTGTAGTCCCAGCTACTCAGGAGGCTGAGGCAGGAGAATTGCTTGAACCCGGGAGACAGAGGTTGCAGTGAGCTGAGATCGTGCCACTGCACTCCAGCCTGGGTGACAGAACCTTGCTACTATAGAGAGGAAAGTAGGAATTTGCTTCTTACACCTCTTATTACTATTACAAATATATATCTTTCTCTCCACTTTTGTAAGCCAGGACAGAGAATTGGCTGAAAATGAAAGATTTTTTAAACCATCAGATACTGATTTTTAGGAAGGATGTCAAAAATAGAGGAAAAAAGTAATTGATACACTGAGGTCAATATTTTGAACATTTATACATTTGACACATTTCTATATGAGGCTCTGAGTTAGACACTGTGGGTGAGACACAACTGCAGCACGTGATTTCTGTTCCGAAAGAGTTGGAGGAAACAGAATACATATGTGTAAGTAAAATAACTATCTAAGAATTAAAGTCTTTGAATTGCTAGAATATAATCTTAAAGCTTTTTGGGAAATTTGGAATTTGAAAGTTTATTACAGAAATGTTATTGCAAGTATTGTTTTTGACATTCAGGTTAGTTTATAAATCATTTAATTCCTGATGAACTCCAAATTCTATATATTTCCAGTCAGTGCAGCAGAAGCACTATGTATTGGAATCAGCTATGTCCCTTAAGCATCATGACACTATTTTTTAAAAAACAAAACACATTTAAAACCGACACATTAACTGACCATCAGTCACACAAGGAAAATCAGGTTTTTTTGACCCCTTCCCACTGCCACTTATGAAGAAGGATAGAAGATTCATCAATCTTAACTAGCATTAGTCAAGCATTTCATGGCGTCAAAGAAGTCAGTAGTACTTAATACAAAATTGTGTTCAAAATTGCTTAATTCTGGCCAGGCACGGTGGCTCATGCCTCTAATCCCAGGGCTTTGGGAGGTCGAGGCAGGTGAATCACTTGAGGTCAGGAGCTCAAGACCAGCCTGGCCAACATGGCGAAACCCTGTCTCTACTAAAAATACAAAAATTAGCCGGACATGGTGGCATGTGCCTGTAATCCCAGCTACTCAGGGGAGGCCGAACCATGAGAATAGCTTGAACCTGGGAGGTAGAGGTTGCAGTGACCCAAGATCATGCCACTGCACTCCAGCTTGGGGGATAGTGCAAGACTCTGCCTCCAAAAAAGAAAAAGAAAAAAGAAAAAATGCTTAATTCTAACGGAAATATGCTGGTATCTACAGACATTTGAATAAATACTACGATACTATGTAATGCCCATAGAGTAGATGCACATTTTGGCATTAGTAGATGTACATGTGGTCGTCTAAGGATGACCTTGTGAATTAAAACTAGTTCATGCAGCCAAGAGAGACAAGTTGCTGCCTTTCTGTTACAAAGTGCATCAGCCTGGGCAGCAAGCGGAGGCAGAGCACCTGAGTTCCCTGCAGCAGTTCTGACCAGGAAGGGAGGAAAGAAATGAAGAGATCTGGAGCAAATTCTCCCAGGGAGGACTGTGAAGGACTGAGACCTCTTGGATAGAATCTTGAGGAGAGGGAAATCCTAAAGCAGAGAGAGGGAAGTTCTCAGGGGGGCTGTGTCATTGGCACAAACATGCTAGTTCACCCCTCTGCTACCTGTCTCCTTTTAACAGGTGATTTTAAATGCTATAGCGCAATCCACCCTCTGACTCGTTTTAGCACGTTCTCACCTCTTCAGCCTTGTGGAAATGTATTGCCAATATCTACAGGCATTTGGTTACGTACCAGCACTATTCACCCACTGGCTGCAATGGCAGATGCCAAGATGGGATTTAAGCTCATAGGGCTTCTAGTGGCCAACTAGATAGAGCATCCTGGAGAAGTGAGGTGAAGCAGACTCAAACAAGGTTCAGGAATAGCAAGCATGCTTCTAAGACACTTATCAAGGCAGAAACTTTGCAGCAACGAGCAGGTCTGTACACAGAGGCAATAGCACTTTCCTATACGTCTCAAGGTTTTCCTTGAGAAGGTTTCCCCCAGTGTGAGTTATCGGCTGGTCCTCAGACCTCTGTATAGACTTTACAATCTTAGTAGTATTCACAGTCTTTTCATTTACTGTTTTGGTTCCCATTTTTCAAAAATTAAGTTTTCAAAGTAGTTCATTGTTTTAGATTGTATCCTGAGAAAACTTCGTGATTGAATCTCTCTCTCTATCTGCCTTTCTTCCTCTCTTCCCCCTTGTATATGTAGATGCACATATACATATATGTATATTTAAGTATATATATATATATTTAAGAGAACTATAATAATGCTTTACATACAGTGTTATAAGCTGTTGTTTTCACTTATGAATGTATCATAAATAGTCTTAAAAATCAAGAAATAAACATGTGCATCATTACTTCATAGAACTTATTACAGGATATTTAAATTATTTTGACTTATCACTAATTTAAACAAACTTTTAATGAACACATTTTTTCATGTATGTTGCACACTTGAACTATTATATCCTTAGAGTAAATACCTAGAAGTCAACTTGCCGGAATAGGAGAAATAAACATAAATTTGTTCGATAAAGATCAGAAAATTTCCTTTGAAAACAATTTAAGGTTTATATTTCTTTAATAATATATGCAAATTTGTATTTTCTTACATGTCTAATAACACATGTTATGCAAAATTTATTTTTGGTTTGCCAATCAAGAGAAAAAAAAGTTGTTTAATTTATATGATTTTGATTATCAGGGAGGCTTAATAATTGTATATGCTGATTGACTATTTGTATTTCATGTTTTCTGCAATTATCTTTTCATGTTTTTAGTGCCATTTTTCTGTTGGAATATTTGGTTTTTGTCCCTTTGTGTGGCATATATGTATATTATTGATTTTCCTCCTTTGTTATTATAAATATTCTTTTTATGATAAAAATTTTCAAATAGATACCAAACTGGAAGTAATAATCAGGGAGAAATTACATATTTTACAATTTTTCCTTCACACTTTAAGTTAATTTATGGACTTCTTTCCTAATTCAGTTTAATTAATTATTTTGTGTGTGTGAGGAGAGCCCTATTTTGCATTTGGTGAATATCATTTTCCTTACGTTATTTTTGGAGTTGATGATGTACCATGGCTATTTGGAGAATGTTAATATGTAACATTCAATTTTTAAAAGAAAATCTGTTGATCATTTGATGTGAGCACTAAGTCATGAAGAAGATGCTGACTCACCTGAATTCTCTCATCTCACTACATTATTTGTCAATGCTACAGATGGTTCTTTTTTTTCCTCTTGGAAAATGTTTATTTTTCAATACTCAATTGACTTCTGTTTCAAAAATATCAGCATCCAATCACTATCCTCGGGTCTGATACATAAGATGTACTTAAAATTATACAACTCTATTTAGGACATTCTAAAATATGCTGAGAAAAGAGATCTTTGTTATCTAAAGACATAAAAACAGTATCTAAGCAAAGTGAGGCTTAACCTAGATCTCTCAGCAGGCAATTAAAGAAAATGATTGCTGGAAAGAGATGCCTTAAATTGCATGTTTAAAAGACCTGGGAATCCTAATGTATACTTCCTGCCTCTTTCTCATCATATTGCTTAAAAAGTTCTGAGTTTTATAAGTTGAGAAATACAGGAACAGATGTGTTTGCTGAAATGTTTGAGTGCATAGCTCTTATGGATCTGGCACTGAGTTTCCTCCTTAATGCTATTAATTGCCTCTTTCCAAATACATGGATTTCATACTCTGATTTCTCTTCAGATCTAGAAATATATAAATTTCTAGATTTTTAAGAGCACGTTTTTTTACTTAAAAATGACATTTCTAATTTATATTGATGTTAATGGAAAAATTATTATAGAGCTATATTAAAGTTTTGATTGATACATAGATTAGATTTTCCAAGTTGATTCTCACCCTTTGTGGCCTTCTTGCGATAGAGAATCAAACACATTACGTTAAGGAGTAAAATACTTTTTTCAAATAAATGAACATGCTGTTCCCAAACTATAGCAAATATATTTTCAGAAATTTTTGTTCCTGGCACTCCCTGTTAAAATAAAAAACAGGGATGGATAAGATAGCTTTAATGACTCAAACTTTATCCTTTTAATAGCTTTTTCACATAGCTAACTGCTGGATGGATAGTTGACAGAGACTGGGTTCAATAGTAGTGCATAAAAACTCGGAATTACAATCTCAAATGTTGAAGCAGTGGAAAGACCTCAAATGCATTCACTGTTCTGCAAAAGTGGCTCTTTCTAATTTCACTTAGCAGACTATTACTTGTTCTCAATTTTTAAACTTTTCCTTCTACAGGAATAAGTGGGTCAGCTTCTCAGAGGCTATGAGGCAGTCAAGTTGATCTGCAGAATCTGTTCGATTAGGTCAACCTGAAACTGCAAGAAGCAGATGAAAAGATTTGGAGCCAAGTATCATTTCAGTTCTGGATCATATTGACATCTGTTACAACATATTATTAAACATAAAACCCCACATGGTACTCGAAATTATACAGGGAAAGAAAAATGCTACAAAATGCAAACCTTTTGGATTTTGTCACAAGTGAATAATATTTAAAATAAGCCAGTGGATGTCATATTTGTTTAAAGAAAATAAATATATCAGAAAGTGACAATCTGACTAATAGCTGAATTTAGTGGTTTTCTTCAAATGTCTTTAATTTATTATTGTCAGGTATGGAGGCCTGTTTTCAACATGTACAGTGTCCTACACTTTGGCTGCCTCTTGGAGGAAATGAGGCAATACCAATAAATACAAGAGTGCAGAATATTTGCAACAGGAAAACATGATATTACTGCCAAATCATATTTAATGCCTGGAGGGCCGATTTTCTTCCCACATCCTTTGATTTTCTTTCTCTTTCTTTTAGTTGCCTTTTTGCAATTTCACTACTCAGCAAAGTCATGGAACTAAGACATAAAAGCAGAATTCACTGGAATTTGGCAATGTGTTATTATATTTTGCCTTACCCTTCTCTTCTCCTTAGACTTGATTTACGTGGAATTTTGTTTGTAACTAAATTTTAATAGAATTAGAGCTGAGATAAAGACCAGATCCATGAGACAGTTAACAGGGGTGCCCATCTACGAGGGTGCTATACTTGGAAAAGTAATAAGGTGAGAAAATGTATATGGCTGAAATCTCCCAAGGACTAGTGGTTGGAGGAAAGGCATTATTGATCCACTGGTGATGACTTCCACATTGGTAGGTTCTATGCTAGTAGTTGATTACTTAATTACATTTAAAGAAATAAAGATGTGGTTAGATTAGTTGCAAAGACTTTTAAAATTTAAATACACATTTTTTTTCACAGTGTAAAGTACATAAGTCTGACCTGTGATCCAAGAAAACAGTGATGAGGTAAATTTTTTTTTTTATGTTTTTAGCTTTCCACATACTGCTCTTAGCCTTTCTTCTAAATAACTGTTGAAAAAAAATTTTTAAAATGTCACTTTCAGAGTACTAAGTTAATTGCTTTCCTGTGAGTCTTACGTGGCTCATACTGGTCTTGGCTAGAGAGATATGTATTTTTTTTTTGGTCCATTGCTATGTAAAGTGTTAAAACAAATGTCACTGGAAAATATAGATGAAATGTCAACTAGTGAAGCACACAGCATTTTTCTGACCACGAGATTTAAAGAACATTGTGTGTATCAGTGGAATACAACGCAAAAGTTGAATGGATTCTCCATATTCCTTGTAGAGCAGCACTTTTAGTGTCCAAAATAGGAGCTGGAGATTAGACATGGGTGCTCAGTTTCCTAGCACCTTCCATAAGCACAGACAATTGAAGGAGCATCCACGATTCTGTAATGCAGAAAAATAAACTTTCTCATTTTCTTAAATTAGGAAAACTCAGTTTGACCTGGCAAAAAGTCTGAGTGAGAATACTTAAAAAACAAGTCAGCTTTATTAATTATACAGTAGGACAGGGAAGCATTTTGTTATACAGCTTGAACTGAATACAAATATTTTGTGGTTATCATATTTATTATTAACATTAAAAGGCTAGTTCTCAGATGGTGTTTGAAAAAATTGCTACTTTTGCTTATTGATGTATTTATATATGTACTTATAAATACATATATGTATGTGTATCTCTCTATATATATATATGTGTGTGTATGTGTGTGTGTGTGTGTTCAGATGCTCCTTGACTTACAATGGGATTATGTCCCAATAAATCCATCATAAGCTAAAAAAGTTGAAAACACATTTAATACACCTAACCTACTGTGCATCATAGCTTAGCCTACCCTGCCTTAAGTGTTCTCAGAATGCTTACATTGGCCTACAGTGGGCCAGAGTCATCTGGCAACAGTACACTATAGAGTAGTGGTTGTTATCCCTTGTGATTGCGTGGATGAGTAGGAGCTGTGGTTTGCTGCTGCTGTCCACTATCCGGAGAGAGTATTGTATCGTATATTGCCAGCCGTGGGAAAAAAAAATCACAATTCAAAATTTGAAGTATAGTTTCTGCTGAATGCCTGTTGCTTTTGCATCATCATAAAGTCAAAAAATTATAACCCCAACCATCATAAGTTGGGGACCATCTGTGTATACGTACAGTCATGCATTGCTTAATGATAGGGATACCTTCTGAGAATTGCGTCATTAGGCGATTTCATGGTTGTACAATCATAGAGTGGACTTGCACAAACCCAGACGGTAGTGCCTACTGCACACCTAGGCTATAGGGTGTAGCCTATTGCTCCTAGGTTACAGACCTGTATAGCATGTTACTATACTGAATCCTACAAGCAATTGTAACACAATGGGAAGTATCTGTATACGCAAATGTAGTGAAAGTTCAGTAAAAATCTGGTATTATAATCTTATGGGATCACTATCATATATGCAGTCTGTCGTTGACCAAAATGTCATTTTGTGACACACCACTGGATGTATATGTAACACCTATGATGGTTAGACAACTCTGTTTTTCTCTAGCAGCTTTATTGTAATGTAACTTACAGATCATAAAATTTACCCTTTTAAAGTATACAGTTCAATGATTTTTAGTGAATGTTCAGAGTTGTGCACCATCACCACCATCCAATTTTATAACATTTTTTATTGCCCCAAAAAGATCCCTCGTGCCTGTTTACAGTTACTCTCCATTCCAACCCCAAGCCTCAGGCTAGCCCTAATCTACTCTCTGTCTCAATAGATTCATCTTTTCTGGTTACTATGCTAGAGACTCCTCCTTGCCATACTCTCAAGTAAAATTGCTAGGTCAGGGGCAATGCCTTCTGGGACTTTAGTGAATACCTTGGTTAGGGCAAGTTTTCTATTAGGAGGGATTACTGTGTGGGAGCTTAGAGCTCAAAAAGATCTTCCTAAATCTTCTCTTTAAAGAAGCAGTATGGTTAAAACTGAGCTGCAGACTGAGGCACACCTGGGTTTAATTTCTAGCTCTACTGCTTTCTAGAAGATTGACCACAAAAAAATAATTTAACCTCTCTAAGCAACATTTTCCAAATATGTGAAAGTATGGCTGTTGAAATATGACATTAAGTAATGTCAGTAAAGTGACTGACACCTAGTGTGTATTCAACAGAAACTTTCCTTATGGCTATACCTGAGCTTTCTCATCAAGGAAAATATACCCTAACTTTTGACCATTGTGTTTGACTTCAAATTTTTCTGCAATCCACCGAAGTGTCATTGTCATATGTTTCCTTTACATTTAACCCAAGCCTCTTTGGCTTTTTCACTAAAGAAGAGCTGCATGCTATCATCCAAATAAGGTCATATTATTTCCTGAAGCTACTCTGACTTCACCAACAATGTACATTTACTGAGAGCCTGTGATTGCTGTGTGAGTGATACAATGAAGACATAGTTGAAGAGCTAACAGCTCACTTGGAAACAAACAAGTCACTGGAAATCAAAAATGAATTAAATATGTATTTAGAGACATCAACAGTAATGGTTCTTTTTAACCAGCAATTTTGCTCCTGAATACCCACTGGAAGGAGAGGATCTTAAATGCAAAAAAAGATTTTTGGGCAGAGAGAATTGGCAAAGCATCAATCACAGCTGAAAATAACAGGAGATGGCTATTGAGCTATTCTTTAAAGGACGAATGAAATTTCAAATGCAGAAAATGGCACAAAAAGAGGCATTTCAGGAGAAGTGAACTTCAACTTCATTCATTCATTTATATTTTCGTTTATCAGATATGTGGATGTCTGCTTATATCAGTCAGCTTTCACTAGATTATTCTGAAGTAACAAACAATACCAAACCTTAGTGCCATATGAGGAAGAAAAATGTGTTTCTTATTCATAGTACATGTCTCTCTCTCTCTCTCTCTCTCTCTCTTTATGTTGTTTTACTTTGCTACAGTTCTGTGCCTTGTTCTTCATTCCCGGACCCAAGCTGACTTATCAGTCTCACAGCAGTGGGGAAAGAGCTATGGAAGAACCAGGAACAGGAACCATACAACGTGTCTTACATCTTCTGTCCTATATCACTTATGCTCGCATCTCGTTGGGCAAGAAAAGTTGTGGGGTCAAATATGATGTCCAGGGATAAGAATAGTAGAGACAGCCAGCTAAAATTGAGAGCAAATAAGATAACCTATCCTACTCCCACATTTTTAAGCAGTGAGCTTGAGACAGAATCACTACCTTAGGGAACCTACACTTTAGTATGAAAATGTGGAGGTGTGCCAGGACCTGCTTTGGCAAAAAAACAATGAATAACCTGGTAAGACGAGAGAATGTAAGGGAAGATTACACTGGAAAGAACATATGTGGTCAGATCAGAAAGACCTTAAATACCCTTTCTAAAGATTAGACTTAGTTTTAGAATCAATGGGCAGTAACTAAGTTGTCTGAAGTAGAGGTGTAGTGGTTAGTTCTTTGTGTCAAATTGATAGTCTATGTAGTACATAATTACTTCATTAAACACTGATTTAGGTGTTACTGTGAAGCTATTTTTCAGATGGGGCTAATATCTACAGTCAGTTGACTTTAAGTAAAGAATGTAGGTGGGCCTCACCCAATCAGTTAAAGGCTTAAGAGCAAAAACATATTTCCTGGAGGAGAAGAAATTCTGTCTCAAGATGGCAGTGTAGAAATCCCACCTGAGTTTCCAGCCTGCTGGCCTGCCCTGTAAGTGCTGGATTTGCTAGCCCCCACAATCGCATGAGCCGATTTTTAAATATCTTTATAAATATAGATATAGAGATAGATAGATAGATAACCTATTGGTTCTGTTTCTCTGGAAAACCCTAGTTCATAAGAGAATATCATGATTCAATTTTGTATAGATGGAAGAGATTTTGCAAATTAGAAAGGAAAGAATTTGCTAACTGCTCAGAGGTCAGCATGAGAGGAAAGAATTAAAGATGAACCCAGGACACTATTATTTTGTAAGCTAAGTAATTCTACTTTTTATATTATTTCTTGAAACTTTCTTCATGCTTTGTCCTTATTTTTACAATGGACTACTACATTGCTAATGACCCCAGTTTGTTTATTATTCATTATGATGTGCATATGTGAAAATACGTTCTATGCTGTAAATGTAAGTTCTTTCTTTTTGTAAATACACTGCTGCTCAATTTCTCAGTAATTGCTCCAAAATTTGAATTTTCTACCAGATGGGAAACAGAGATATCATCCATGACCAAGATCCAAGCATGCATCCCCACAAGGGCATGACAATAAGCGTTATTCTTTGATTTCTTCAAAATGCATTAGAGTTGCCCCAGATGAGTAAGAAAATATAAGAATTCCTTAGGTAGTCTCACCATTATCCCAAGAGGGCTGAGCCTTCATCAAACCTCTTTGGATGGCAGGATTAAGGGAGGTTGGAAACTGAGTCTGTCCTGATCGAGTTAATTCTCATCCCTACCCCATTGCTTACCTCTATAACTCTTTGGTTTCTGTCAGAGTTTCACAGGCTCCCAATGTATAACTAGGTCAGATATTTTTGTGGAATTATTATCATTTAGTATTTAATAATGTATTTACAGTATTAGATAAAGTTCTAAAACTGAGCCATTTAATTCCTGCTATATCCCTCTGAGATAATTTGCAATATCCTGTAAATGAGAAAATATAAAGAGTCACATGATTTGACCAGCCCCCCCACCCAAAAAAAAGTATGCCAACAAATCTATTTTCTCATAGAAATTGTTAAGTGAGAATAGTGAGCATAGCTCTTTCTGAGGGATTATGAAACAACAACAAAACAAGGAAGAACAACAACCAAAGAAGAATATATAGGCCATCAAGGAGCTAATGATCTGGTCTTAAAGAAAATACAAGTGTTGGCCAGGCACTGTGGCTCACGCCTGTAATCTCAGCACTTTGGGAGATCGAGGCGGGTGGATAACTTGAGGTCATGACTTCAAGACCAGCCTGGGCAACATGGAGAAATACTGTCTCTACAAAAAATACAAAAATTAGCCATTGTGTTGGCACACACCTGTAGTCTCAGCTACTCAAGAGTCTGAGGCAGGAGAATCACTTGAACCTGGAAGGCAGACATTGCAGTGAGCTGAGATCACACCACTGCACTAAAGCCTGGGTGACAGGATGCTCTGTCCAAAAAAAAAAAAAAAAAAACAGAGAGAGAGAGAAAGGACAGAAAACACTTGTGAAACAGGGTATTTCCCCCAACCCCTTCACAGGACTCACAGCAGGGGTGCCTTGTTTACCCAGCCTGCAGTTTTCAACTCCTCATGGGAGGGAGCATGCAAGTGAACAAAGCGGGAACTGGAATGCATGAATGCTGGAATCAGCTGTCCACTTCAGCCCCAGCAGAAATGAACTCCACTCACTTGGACTCACTGCACTCCACCCGTCATGGGAGGGAGTGCACAGGTGAGTGTGTGCAGGATCCAGGGTGAGCACTTTTGGGCACCAGCAGGAGCAAATTCCATGCAGGCCCTGTGACAGCATCTGGGGAGGTGCCTGAGACCCTGAAGCCCCAGAAGGAGGGTTACAGTTCTCTTTTAGCTCTGCGGATGGCTTACGTGTAAACAACTCAGAGGACCCTCTGCCTTTTCACATGAGGCAGCTGGCTTCTGCCAGCAAAAGCAAAGGGCAAGTGTGACAGCCTTTTGTATCTGCACTTGTGACTCCCAAACTCGTCTGGCGTACAGGAAAAATGAGGTCGCACAAACAAATTGAAGGATGGTAAATGTGGGGGATCTTATTGCTGATGAAAGTGGCTGTCAGAGGGAAGGGTAGCTGGAAAGAGGATGGGATGGGAAGATAATCTTCCCCTGAAGTCTGACCATCTCTGGATGGATTCTTCTTGGAAGTTATGCCAGGAAGCTGTCCCTCTGAAGTCAAGCTGCTTCCCTCTGAGGTCCAGCCATAGTCTCCGATGTCCAGCTGCTTTTCCTCTCTGCTGGCTGAGTCTGGGGTTTTTATGGGCACAGGACAGGGGCTCAGAAGGCCCATGGTTGGTTTTGGAAAAGGCAACATTTGAGCAGTAAAACGGGGATGTAAGTTCTCACTTTGGGCTGCAGTCTCAAGCTTTTCAGCTTGAGGATGGGCCTCACCAGGGACCCGCCCTTTTCTGCCTAGAATTTCTCTGCCTCCTGTCCTATCACTAGTATAAATTAATCCCTGAAGCACATTGTTCCACCATATCACAAACCTCCATCTCCTCACCTTTGCTTATGAGGTCCTACCTGAGTTCCTTGTTGTGACCTGTGGACCTGCCACCTGCTCATCTCCCCAGGGTGTGTTTCTCCCCCTGCTGCAGCAGAACCACACTATTTTTAGTTTTAAAACACAACATGATTTTAACTTTCTATGTCCAGAATGGAAACCCAGATCTTTCTCCCCAAACCTTCCCCATCTCAGTTACTCTGGCCAAAAAGTGTCAAGTTATCCATGACTGTGATTTTTTTCTTCATTCTATATCCAGTCTGCCTGCAAACCTGACTGAACTGAAAAATCTAACCTGTTATCATCCCCTTGAACATCTTGGTCTAAGCCACATGTCTGAGAGAAAAATACATAGTGAGGCTAAAAACAAAGAAACAAATGAACAGATACTGCCCAACTACCTCAAATTCAAAAGCACACAGTTGGACATTTAAATTAGGGGAGTCTAAAGTGTTGAAAGGTATTTGTTGTGGTATAACCAAGGCTCTCAGCCTCTAAACTATTTCTACATTATCAAAGATTTTAATTATTATATCCAAAATTTAATATGAATATCCTTTGGGAGTCATCTTTGAATAGATTTGCAACTCTCTAGCCTCTGGCTTTCTTAGGTATAGAGATATTCATGCATCATCTTCAACATTGTCACAGTAATGACAGCCTCCACTTTCCTTGGGTAATTGCTATGTTGCCAGGCACTATACTGAGTACTATAATCATTGTCACTAATTCTCATAAGACTCTTAAGATCAACATATTATTGTTACTAATGCTCAACTTTATTGTCATTATTATGATTCCCTTTTTATTAAGAAGGACACTGAAACACAAGGACGCTAAGTCTCCAGCCAGCCTCATGCCCCCTTACACCTGCATGATAGAGCCAGGATTCATACTCAAGCCTGCCTGGCACTGGAACCAGTCTTTCCACAGTCGTATGCTGCTCCCAGAGAGTTTAACTGGATAATTTTAAGATCGCTGCTAATTTTAAAAGTAAATCAGTCAACAGTTATTGGCACTTCTTGGTTAAATGCTTCACATACAGTTGGTGAAAATAGAGGCAATTTTTCATAATGTGCACCACTAGGCAAAACCTTGGGCTTCAGTAGACCATTGCTATCCTAGATACACGGAAAATGTACCTGATGGTTTTCTGAAAAGTCACTGGTCACTCATCCAGACTTAGTGAAGTCTGGAACTCAGTAAAAAGATCAACTCAGCTGATCCTAGTGTTGGCTAGCTGATAGGATATATACAGGTGTTTAAAAACTCCACTGTATTCACCTGCTCAGGTTGCTGTAACAGAATACCACAGGCTGAGTGGCTTAAACAACAGAAATTTATTTTCTCTGTGTTCTGGAAACTGGAAGTCCAAGGTCAACAGATGGTTAGGGTTTGTTTCTGGTAAGGGCTCTCTTCTTGGCATGTAGACAGCCGCCTTCTCATTACGTCCTCCTATGGCTTTTCTTCTCTGAACATGGAGAAGGAGCTCTGATTTCTTGTCCTCTTCTTATAAGAACACCAGTCCCATTGGATTAGGACCCCATGCATGTGATCTCTTTTAATCTTAATTACCTTCTTAAATGTCCTATCTCCAAATACAGTCACTCTGGGAGTTAGGGCTCCAACAGATGAATCTGGGGGATGCAGTTCAGTCCATAGAAGTCTACAGTTTTTCATCTGATGTTTGTGTTATTACTTATTTCAGCTTTTAATTTCTGAGTAGTAAATAATGTGTATTTAAAATTTCATTCTGTATATTGCTAAACTTAGATTTACAAACTTAAACCACGTATGAATTTATTGTTCATTAAGACAAATTACTTAGATGCCTAATGCGGCTGATTTTTGCATACTTACTGGATAATGTACAAAGTTACCATTTTCAGGCCACAAATACAAATACATCACACAATGTATAAATGTGAGGGATTTAATTTGAACTGATAAGATATACCTTTTAGGTGAATTAATATTTTATCTTACTCTCCTGTATTACCACCAACAAAAAACCACACTACTTTTAAATGTCAGTTAGGTTTTAGTGAAAATCATTTATTAAATGTTGTATACTCAGTTTAAATCTAACTGGGTAACTAAACATTAAAGGGGGAAAATCTATATTGGTCTAATTTGAATTATATGTTCTTCTCAACAAGCATAATTGCCATTGACTGCCTAAAGCACCATTGTCTAAGTCATGAATAATCATAAAACATTACAATTGGCACAAGAAGAATGGAAAGAAACCCATCAAAAAAAAAAAAGGAAGGCACAAAATACCAACAACCTCTCCTTCCCTTCTCCTCTGCCTAAAAGAATAAAGCCATGCAAAACACAATGACTTCATTACCTGAGAAAATGTGCTACCTGATAACCATGAGAAGCCTCATTTATTATAGATAGTATTTCACCTCGGTTTTGACATGTTATTCTGGAATGAAGCTCACTTGTTACCAAGTGTGTGTCATTTAAAAAGGAAAGGAAGCAAGAAGGAAGGAAGGAAGGAAAGAAAGAAGGAAGAAAGAAAGAGAGAGAGAAGGAAGGAAAGAAGGAAGGAAGGAAGGAAAGAGAAAGAAAGAAACCCTTAGTACCTTCATCTCCCCTTTCATTAACTGAGTTCTTAATTCAAAACTAGAAATACAGATTTTTCTTGGGCAGAATATTTTTCCAGAAGCTCTGGAAGTTGGCAAAATGTCACACCTTGGATATTTTATGAAGGACTTAAAGTTTACAGTCAATGAACCTCTTGCTTAGGGGGCATCTAGAACCACTTTCTAGAGCATATTCACTAAATTATCCTGTACTTGGTTTCTAGCATCCTAAGAGCTGTGGCTCTAGTAGATCCTCCCACACTAGGTAATATTAGAACAACCCAGAACACATGCCATTCTATTATCTTGGTGATTTGTTGAAAAATCCGTAGATTAGACTGAAAGTCAGTTTCCTTTAAATCACAATGTTAGTTCTGTGATATCAAAACTATTAGTTTTGTGCTATAGTGTTAGTTTGTGATAAAAAAATAATGAAATCCTGTCTTTTGCCGCAATATAGATGGATCTGGAGGCCATTACTTTAAAAGCCCTGACTATGCTGCTACACAATCTATGCAAGTAACAAAATTATGCTTGTACCCCATAAATTTATAGAAATAAATAAATATAAATAAATAAAACATAAAATAAATGTTAGCTGCTTATTCCAGGGTTAGCACTAATCTAAAGAGAGCTTTAATTCCCAGGTAGAATGCATATTTCCTGCCTCTGATTTTTATGGTTATTTTCTAATCCCCACAATGCCTTACTCAATTTGCATTTTGATACTTGGGATACTTTGTTTGCTAAAGTACTTGTCTTACCCACTGGGCGATGTGTTCTTGATAAACAGTGGGTATTTCTTAATTATTTTTAGATTCTCTATGTTTAGCATATGGGGGAGAGGAATCAAATATTGAATAAGTATTTGCTAAATAAATAAGTAAATACTACATTTGATCATTTATTTAGCGTTTATTGAGTAATCCCATATATCAGAAATTGTTCTAGACCCTAAATACAAAGAGAAATCAGTGTTGATGCTTCCTCTTTGAGAATTCATGGCAGAGTGGAGATGAGAGGCCTAAAAACAGTTAGTTGGAATACAACAGGTTAAAAAAAGAAGTGCTAAAGAACAAAGAGAAGGGGAAAGTGAAGAGCCGCCAGTTCTATGCTCTATGTTTTTCAGAGTGAAGAAAGCAATGGCTAGCTTCAAGTAATACTTTATTCTGCAAATCATACATTATTTGTTGGCAGAAGGAAATTTTGTATAAAATGATGCCTTGAAAATCAGTTTTAGTTAGAATAGTTAAGGAGAAGTAGAAGCTGGTTATTCTCTTCTCCCAAGTATTAAAAAAGATTAGTAACCCAGAATCACTAAATGGAAAAGATAAACGGATTGGGAGTTAGAAGGTGTAAGTTCAAGCTCCAGGTTGGAACTATTGAGGCAAATAATTTGAGTTCCATATTCTTTTTTTTTTTTTTTTCCTGAGAGAGAGGGTCTTGCTCTGTCACCCAGGCTGGAGTGCATGGCCTGATCTCGACTCACTGCAACCTCTGCCTCCTGGCCTCAAAGGATGTTCATGCCTCAGCCACCCGAGTAGCTGGGATTACAGGCACCCACCACCATGTCCGGCTAATATTTGTATTTTTAGTAGAGACAGGGTTTTGCCATGTTGGCAAGGCTGGTCTCAGACTCCTGGTCTCATGTGATCTGCCCGCCTCAGCCTCCCAAATAGAAATACTATTTGGACATTTTTACTGCTATGTTTTCTCTTCAAAGCCATCTATTTGATAGGAGAGTGAAGAAAAACTATTAAATCAATAATTCCAAAGTGTTAGAATTTTAGAGTTTACAGACATCATGGAGGTCACTTAGCGCAACTCTCTACAAAGGATGGGTCTGAGCAGTACATCCTTAATAAATGGCTGTCCAAGTATGATTGACCTTTCCCTGTTCCACACCATGTCAGTTTCTACGGTTTTACATTCTGATTACCCTCACCCAGATATGTTCTAATTCCTTACTATTCTAAATGGCACCCAAGTGAAGCCCTAACTTCCTGCCGAGATCTGAGCTGTGAATAGTGAAAGAAGACTATCATCTTCCTTTCCTAGACACTATACATGCCTATTTTTTCATTTGTGTTGGCCATCTCATAACAATGTCAACATATGGTGAGACTTCAACCCATCAACCCCTAACTACTTGACCAAATGATGTTGTTGTAGTGTCCCTTCTCCACCATGCTCATGCAGTTTACTATGATCTGTTTGGATTTCATCTGTAAAAATGTGATGACAGTGACAATGTCATTCAATTCGTTTCTCATTCCTCCCAATGACATGAGATCCATCAATTTGGAAAATCATGCCTTCCTCTGCCATCATCCCAGGGACCCTGGTGCCCAGTGCCAGGCTGACTGCTAATTACTTACGGCTGAATGTCTGGAAAGAAATCCACCTAACTCCCCACCCCAGATCACTCTGTCCCTGGAATAACTTGAGAGATCTGGCCACGTGCTTTGTTGAAATTCAGAAAAATGCACAGCTTTTTCCAATATTGTTTATGAATTTGTTTCATATTTATTTTGTTACCTACAATCAGAATAAAAGAGAGTTTAAAATGCAGACATGGGGATAAAGTGGCCCAGTCCATGAAAATGATAGAGCCGGGTTTCCTAGCAGGAAATCCAAGCTGCCTATTATATCATCCGGGTTATGATTCCCACAGGGTTTCGGCTTAGAAGAAAACCTCTGCTGCCTGTGCAGTGATGCTTTAAATTCCTTTAATTTGTAGCTATTGCTTAATTAGAAATAAGCTTTAGATTGATATATGTGGAAAGTTAACATATTGACATGATTTCATACTAAAGAAGAAACATCTAATACCAGATTTGTTCCCAGGCAGATTTGATTCGGGATGGTAAGGTGAGGATAAGAGAGGATTGTTCTCAATTTGGTTCTGTAAATAGTTGTGACAATTCATTTATCTGCACAACTGAATTGAGTGATCTGGGACTAAAATTAGAACTAACATGGCATGTGTTTCACAGTTTCTGAGGCAGCTTCTTCTTACTCCTTCCAGAAGACTTTTGAGGATAAAGAAAGGATGAAAATTCTCCAAGAAAATGGAGCACCAAGACTGATGTTGCACGAAATGCCAAAATTTTGAAGAAAATTCCATCAACAACAAGATCTATAGAGAGGAATAGAGAAATATAATCAGAAGCACTCACAGATTTTGCTGCTTGAAGGAGCAAACCCACTCCCCTGAGAAGACAGACTGGGGCTTCTTTCCTCCCCCATGGCCTGCTTCTTGAACCAGCATTCTGAATCTGAAGTATTAACCTGAGAATTGGCTGTCCTTCTGTGCACACATGCTACATTTTGAGGTGACCTGAATACTATCTGCAACCCCCTCAATTAACAATTCCTTTTGAAGCCATGTATTAGACTGCACATTTAAATATAAGAGAAAAATTAAAAAGATGGGCAGTGGTATCTAGATCCAGGGAAGCTTAGTTACAATGAATAAAGAAGAGTAGGTGGAAAGAAACCTGAAATGTGGTTCAATTTTCCCATGTTTTTAGCTCAATGACTATCATCCCAGTGCCTTTCAACATGTTATAGTCCATACCGTCTTCAATGTATTCTGACCTAATTTTAGTGTATTTCTACCTAACCTTGATTTTGCCAGGGTTAGCATAGTTTAGTTATAATCACATGAAATATGATTTTTCAAGGAGGATATCCTCTCCCAAATAGTATATGCACTTGACCCCCATCCTTACTGTGCAAATATGGAACACAGAGCTAGACAAGGAAAATTGGGTTAAGCACTGATCTTATCAGTGTTCTTTAGGTTTCAATCAGAGACACAGAGGATTCTATTAACCCCCAACTCCACCATCAGTAGGAGGAACAAGGAAAATCTAGATACCCTGACCATTGACAAACACAAGAACTATACATGCATTCCCTCATTTGAGATAAAGACAAGAGAAAGATACAGTGTGGAATAAATGGTACATCATCCTGAAAAAAAAATCTTTGGAAATGACTTCACAAGAATTCTTAAAATGTAGTAAAGTGCTCTATGTCTTCAATATGATAGAAACATTTATGAACTCCATGAATCAGGAACTACAGGAATAAAAAGAGACTGTGTTGAGAGGAAAAGGAGTTGGGTGAATCAAGGTGGAGTAGCAATCATAAAACTTGAATCAGTGTTGGGAGCAGTAAAGAACGAACTGATGTTGTGGAAAATTAAAACACTAATATGGACCATAATATTGAGCTTTCCTGGAATGCAGATGAAAAGGATAAATACCGAAAAAAAAGTAGTGAGAAAAGATGAAGATACGGAATTTAGAAGAAAAAAGCTAACCTGAATATAACTAATGTTCTCAAAGAAGAGACAAGACAAAAATTAACTAAGCAATGATAAACTTTAAGCAATGATAACTTTCTTGTATTGAAGACCTATGTATTAGTCTGGGTTCTCTAGAGGGAAAGAACTAATAGGATAGATGTATATATAAAGGGGAGTTGATTAAGGAATATTGACTCACACTGTCACAAGTTGAGGTCCACAATAGGCCATCTGCAAGCTGAGGAGCAAGGAAGCCCGTCCGAGCCCTAAAGCTGAAGTACTTGGTGTCCGATGTTCAAGGGCAGGAAGCATCTAGCATGGGAGAAAGATGGAGGCCAGAAAACTAAACCAGTCCTGTCTTCCCACGTTCTTCTCCCTGCTTTTATTCTGGCTTTGCTGGCAGCTGATTAGATGGTGCCCACCCAGATTGAGGGTGGGTCTGCCTCTCCCAGTCCACTCACTCAAATGTTAATCTCCTTTGGCAACACCCTCACAGACACACCCAGGAAAAATACTTTGCACCCTTCAATCCAATCAAGTTGACACTCAGTATTAATCATCACAACCTATATCTTCAGATCCAATGAACCTAGGTAAAAGTAAAAAAAAAAAAAAAAAGATTTGCATAAAGACATATGAAGATGATATTTAAATGTGAAGACAAACAACATGTCCTGAAAGCATCTCATACAGGAGAAAACAAACATTACTTCCAAAGGAGCACATCAGGTAGGCCTGAGACTTCTCTTCACCAATTTCAAATGTCAGATAACAATGACAGAATTGTTACAGAGATCTGGAAGAGGAGAAAAAATACTCAAGAGTTTTATACTAAAGCAAGTAGTCTTTCATATGTGATCACACAACCAAAAACTCTTCTTAGATATGCTATTAGAGAATAACACATACTTCATAAGTCATTGTGAAAATTGTATGAAGTCATGAATGAGAGAAATGAACATTTGACTACTACCAAGTTCTGCATAAATGTAGGTTCCTATTACCTGACTGGCATTTGTAGATGTTTACTAAAATCAAATAGGAAGGGGGCATGTGATTTAACAGGCTTTTCTTAATCCTTGCTCAATCTCAGAGAGGGATGCCTGCTTACAAGCAGATACCTCACACTGAGCAGGAGGACTTGTTTTCTGGTGCTGAAACCTTGGTCAAGTGACTTAGACTTTCTGAGCTTCCATTTTTGTCTTCTGTAAAATAAGTTATTGGGGCTAAAATTTTCTTCTAGCTTTACTATTCCATGTTGTTTAAAAGTTTAAAGATCTATAAGTGGGGCATTATATTAGTAGAAGTTACACTTTAATATTCTTTTATTTTCTATGTTTTTACTTTAGAGACATAAAGCTTACTTTAGGAAGATATGCTGGATAAATGAATAGAGCAGATTTCAAATAAGTAACATTTGGATTTTGTTTGACTGGTCAAAAAGGACCAGGGAATGGGCACATTTAAAAATGCAAAAGGCTTGGGAGGCCGAGGCGGGTGGATCACGAAGTCAGGAGATTGAGACCATCCTGGCTAACACGGTGAAACCTCGTCTCTACTAAAAATACAGAAAAATTAGCCAGGCATGGTGACTGGCGCCTGTAGTCCCTGCTACTCAGGAGGCTGAGGCAAGAGAATGGCGTGAACCCGGGAGGCGGAGCTTGCAGTGAGCCGAGATCCTGCCACTGCACTCCAGCCTGGGCGACAGAGCTAGACTCCGTCTCAAAAAATAAATAAATAAATAATGCAAAAGGTAAAAATTATTAAACAAATAGGTTATGCGTGTATATACAATGCTTTAGCAGTTATATTTAAGGCCAGATAAAGATTTGAAATGCTCCAGCCCACAATACCATAATATTCAGCATGGGTGGGAGGGGATATGGCTGTAATGGGGTTAAAGAGGAGCACAGTAAAGTTTGTTAATGGAATCTCTGCGTGGACGGTGTTGAAACTTAAAGCACATTAATAATAAAAGCCCTGCTTTAAAAACTGACCTTGTAGTTGAAAGATATGCGATTGTGTCATTACCAATTAATGTGTAAGGTAACATAGCTTGTACTTGGAAAGCAACAAGGAGGAGTATCTAAATGATATTCACACATCTTAATTAGTGTCATTAATAGTTCTTTTGCCATCTTTCATGAGAGCAATGGCATCTTGCTGCAAGCCATTGCAAGCATCTTGTTATAAGTCAAACCAGGAAGCTAGATTTGAAGCCAAGTTCTTAAAAGTGGTTTTAAGCTACGGTGCCTACATGACTAGAATGTTTCTCTAGGGCCTCTTCTCAGCTGCAGGACTTTTGAAAGCAATCAGCAATAGAGCCAGACCTGAAGGTAATGGTGACTGATGGACAGCATTACAAGCGCTCTGTGAGATGAGAATGCAAAAACATGAGAAGAAATATGCAAAACAAATTTCTTCCTATAGCCTCCCCCGATGATTGATCAGTGATTTTAATACTATAGGTAAAAATGTGTATATATATAAATGTTTCATCTCTGAATTCATTATCTGCTACTGAACAAATGAAATATTTCCTAATGATATTCTGAAAGTTACTATAAGAGAAGCCCATCTAAAAATCCTTATTACTGAAAAATGTTGGTGCACTAGTGTACAGTGTGGCACAAACTGGTATAATTTAGGACCCATCACATGATGATTGCATCTTAAATTTTTTTACCTTCTCTGGAAACCATAATCTATATAACCTATACCTAAAATAAATTTTATTATTGCGTTTTCTTCTGACCCTAAAGGTACAATATCCTTTAAATGGGCTTGGAGGGGGAACTGGCAAAATACAAAGTAGAATAAAATTAAAAGGAAAAGAAATTGATGGGCTTCCATCCAGCTTTTTTTCTATATAAAATGTGTAATTATGAATATATATGCTCATAAATGCAATATTTAACTTATATATGTAGTTTTCTTTGTGTCACTGTCTTATGTCATTAAAATTTTTCAAAAGTATAATTAATATAAAATAGCCTATTTTATAGTTGTACCATGTCTGTCTGTCTGGGCTTCTATAAAAGGATATTATAGACTGGATGGCTCATAAACAATAGAAATTTATTTCTCACAGTTCTAGAGTCTGGGAAGTCCAAGATCAAGGAAACAGTACATTTGGGGTCTGGTGAGGGCCTGGTTCATAGATAGACGGTGGTCTTCCTGCTGTGTTCTTACATGGCAGAAGGGGCAAAAGGGCTTTGTCGGGCCTCTTGTATGAAGGCATTAATTCCATCCATTATCAAGTGACCTCCCAAAGGCCCCACCTCCTCATACTATCATATTGGTGCCTGGGTTTTAACATACAAATTTTGGGAAGACACATACAGGCCGTGGCATACCATAACTTAACTTATTGTTGAACATTTGAGTTATTCCCAATTTTTCACTATTAAAAAATAATCCTGGCCAGGCGAGGTGGCTCACGCCTGTAATCCCAACACTTTGGGAGGCCAAGGTGGGTAAGATCACTTGAGATCTGGAGTTCGAGACCAGCCTGGCCAACATGGCAAAACCCTGTCTCAAAAATACAAAAATTAGCTAGATGTGGTGGCCAGTGCCTGTAGTCAGGAGGACTACAGCTACTCAGGAGGCTGAGGCACAAGAATTGCTTTAACCCAGCAGGCGGAGGTTGCAGTGAGCCATCACATCATTGTACTCCAGCCTGGGAGACAGAGTGAGACTCCATCTCAAAAAAAAAAAAAAAAATCTGTGCTGAATATGTTTGCTCACGAATTTTGTTTATATTTCTAACTACTTTATTAAAATATATTCCTAGAAGCATCATGACTAACCCAAAGGGTGCATCCATCCTTAAGACTCTTCACACAGATTGTCAAACAGTCTAAAAAAGTCAAACCAAATATACTTCTACCATTTGGATATAAAGGGGCACAACTACAAAAACTATTTCATTTTTGTTTTTAATGTTACTCCTCATTAACAGTGAAAATAAATGTTTTCACATTTATTAGTTATTTGTGTTTTTTCTTCTAATAATTATCTGTTGATATCTTTTTAGATATTAGTATATTAATAGTAGTTTCTTTTATAATTAAGAATATCTTATGATACCAACTGTGATATCACTTTTCTTTTTTTTTTTTTTGAGACGGAATCTTGCTCTGTCACTGGGCTGGAGTGCAGTGGCGCCATTTCGGCTCACTGCAACCTCCGCCTCCTGGGTTCAAGCAATTCTCTTGTCTCAGCCTCCTGAGTAGCTGGGACTACAGACCCACACCACCACGCCTGGCTAATTTTTGTTTTTGTATTTTAGTTGGGATGGGGTTTCACCATGTTGGCCAAGACGGTCTCAACCTCCTGACCTTGTGATCCACCCACCTCGGCCTCTCAAATTGCTGGGATTACAGGCGTGAGCCACCGCGCCTGGCCACTATCACTATGTTTAAAAAGACAGACAATATTTATGACATTAACATTCATTTCTGTATTCCCTGTGTTCACCAAGTCTAATTGGTTTTTTGTTAGTCTGCTTTTTTTTTTTCAGGCAGTACAGGTATATTCAATTTTAGGCAGCTCTTGGCTTCTATTCCAATTTAAACAAGCTAGACACTTAAAATTTTTATATAAATAATTTTGTGAGTATTAAAACAAGTATTATAAGGCTATTGATCCTTTTTGCAGCAGAGTAGTGGTTTCATTGCTGAAGCAAAATACAGTATTATAAAGCTACATTAATATTTTTATTTCTATGGCTAGGTCAATCAATCTGGCTAACAACTGAGAAAAAAAGAGTTGTAATCAATTACATTCACACATCTATTTTATTTTTTGCATGTAGAAGCAGAGTTAAGTTCTTAGGTCATTACTAAAGCAATAATATATTCTATTCTACCTTGTGAAATTTTTAAGAAAATACGTAAAGAAGTTGCCCTTGGAAACACCTTCTTACAACAAAACAGAGACCCAATGGGGAAAGACATTTCTGAGGGCAGCTTAACTTTGTGTCTATAGCTGTAAAATAATAGAGATAATTAAAACAAAAAAACTTTTGAATTTAACTAAAAACATGCTTACATCACCTTATTTTTATTTAGTTTTAACTGGTCTATTATTTTCATATTTATTTGCCACCCTTAAAAAATGCCTTTGTTATCATAGCTTTTTCTTCTGAGACACATGCCTGTCTCCTATTTGAGTTCTGGTTCTAAGGTTATACAGTTTAGCAGTAGGAATTGTTTCTTTCTCCTCTTCTCCTTCTATGTACAATTGTTTTTTAAATATGGCCTACCCTGTATTACATAGGCATGCTATTTTTTATTTATTTATTTATTTATTTTTGAGACGGAGTTTCACTGTTGTTGCCCACGCTGGAGTGCAGTGGCACAATCTTGGCTCACTGCAACCTCCGCCTCCTGGGTTCAAGTGATTCTTCTGCCTCAGCCACCCCAGTAGCTGGGATTACAAGCATGCACCACCATGCCCGGCTAATTTTGTATTTTTAGTAGAGACGGGGTTTCTCCCTGTTTGTCAGGCTGGTCTTGAACTCCCCACCTCAGGTGATCTGCCGTCCTCGGCCTCCCAAAGTGCTGGGATTACAGGTGTGAGCCACCGTGCCCAGCCTAGGCATGCTATTTTTTTTAAACATATACTACTTTTTTTCATCATGTGGCAGAGATGAGTCGATTCAGCATGTTACTCTATTTAATCATTGACCAAAAGAAATCTACACATTCCCATGTTTTTCCAGTTCAAATAACTGATCTACAAAAAAAATTCTAATTTGGCTGTGTCTCTCAAATCTGCTAAACAGAGCAAAAAAATTATCAGGAGAAATGCCATACATATGACCATGAATAGAAAGCAGCCTGTCTGTATCCCAAACAAAAATATGTTTGGGAACTTTATGTAAACCTTTCGAAACACAGGTGGAATGGTCAAATGTTTTCTAAAATTGTTTATGCAGTTAATCACACTTGCGTATTTAAAATTTGCACATTAGGTTATGTATGTGTGCGTGGCTTCTTTCTAGTTCCACTTTATGGGCAAATATTTACCCCAGCTCTTCACCTGCATGTTTGACACCATTGATCAATGTCTTCATCTTCATTAAATGATTTTGAGTCACCTCACCGTGTTCTACTATTTACACTGAGGTCTTGAGACCAGCAGCATTGGCATGAAAACTCCTAGCCCCCAGTCGAGATCTCCGTTTTTATCAAGATTCCCAGAAGATGAGTATGCACATTCAAGTTTGAGAAGCATTGCTCCAGGGCATGTCATCTTCCCTTCAAAGTGCAGTTTTTAAAATAAAGCATACTCTGAATCTAGGTATGATGCTGACATTAGAAGTTGTATCTCAGGTTACAAACACCTTCATTTGAACATTAGGAAACATTTCCACTCATGCTACAAGAACATGTTCATGATCCAAACAACATAACCACTGAGTATATTGTTTTAAAAAGGGAGTTTGTCTTATTAAAACAATATCTAGCCCTAGAAACTTTGAGATTATACTTCCAAGTATAATGGCTAAATCTCCACTAAGCTTATCTTCTTTTAATGTTTTAAACCTGTTTAATCAGGCAATCTCCCTCAGCATCCGAAACTAGCATTATTTGAGGAGGTTTTATGGTAACATGTTTTCTCCAAAGAGTACTCAGTTGTTAAAAAATCAAATCAATGAAGTAATACTCAGTGGTATAAAAACTTGTAAAAATTTGACTACATGGGAGGGATACATTTTGGGGTGGATAAAACCCTTGCCTTATGTTTGGGAATATATGGTTCTTGTTGAATATATTTAGACATAAATACTGGCAGAGCACTTTATCTCTTGCTCTGTTTGGGGATGTTCAAATGTGGTTGGTCCTTCTGGGCATTAAAAAATATATATATATTTATTTTTCTGTAGCACAGCTGGAGATACATACACCACGTATACACATACACACGTATACAATACAACATAGATGTTAGTCAACTGCCACACACCTGCACGCACGCACACACACACAGACACATCATGGCAGGGGAAATCGTGGTTTTAAGAAGTACACTTGCCTCAAGCACCTAGCTTGACATTAGTTTCAACTTGACAATAGAGGTTTCAGGTGAATCCTGTTTCTCCTGAATTTCTATGGCTCTCCCTCTTGTAATTCATGGGAACTGATCAAGCTTCACAGTGTGACTCCAGGATGCCTCTTTGTTTCTGTTGTTTTTTCTCAATTTTGCTGGCTAAATAATGTAGCAAGCCTAATACATTCAAATAAAATTTCTGATTGATTTGGCAGCAGTTTAACAATCTAGAATAATTTACTGATCTCAGAGACTTCATGTGAGTCCATAATGTTTAGACTAGAAATAATAAAATGCACTCAATTGATTAAGCTGTTTGTAGTCGTCTAAGAATTAGCATATTGTATAATTGCAAATATTTTATAATTACCAAGTGGGGCTGATAAAAAGGTTCGGTGCTATCGACTGCTGGACTGATAACCTTGATGAGAGGAGATTCTCAATGAGAGGTGAATTCTCTGTGGGCTGAATACAGAGTGAACTGGAGGACTGCAGAGTTTAGTTTCTTCCTGCTGTTCCTTACTGTAGATGCCTGTAGGATTCCCCAAAGCTCTGCTCTGCAGAGGACAGTGCATGGGACCCTCATTGCTGTGTGGCTGTGCTCAAGAAAATGCTCTAATGAGACTCTCTGCCACCCTAGAGTGTACCTTTTCCCTAGAGTTCTGATATGGTTTGACTGTGTCCCCCCCCAAATCTCAACTCGAATTTTATCTGCCAGAATTCCCACGTGTTGTGGGAGGGGCCCAGTGGGAGGTAATTGAATCATGGGGCTAGTCTTGTCTGTGCTATGATTGTGATGGGAATAAGTCTCATGAGATGTGATGGGTTTATAAGGGGTTTCCGCTTTTCTTCTTTCTCATTTTCTCTTGCTGCTGCCATGTAAGAAGCGTCTTTTCCCTCCCACCATGAATTCGAGGCCTCCCCAGCCATGTGGAACTGGAAGTCCAATTAAACCTCGTTTTCTTCCCAGTCTTGGGTATGTCTTTATCAGCAGCCTGAAAACCAACTAATTCAGATTCCTACTGCGGGAATGAAATTTTCAGAACTCAAACTCAAAGCCAAGTGTGGCAGACTGACTGGGAACCTCTCCAGCCATAGTTTTCTGATGAGGTTTGTTTTGCTTTTGTTTGTTTGCTTTAAAATAATTCCTCATAATTTCCTAGTTTGTTTTGGAAGACTTCAGTTTATTATCGTTGCTGGTACTTTTACTTTCCTAAAAGTAGTAACATGTTCATGATCCTTAAAGCCTCTAATGTTACATAATTACAAAAAGTGAAAAATACAATTACTCACCTCTCACCCCATTGCACTTTCCACAGGCAAGTATTTTAAAATTTTTGTTTATATATTTCAAACTTTATAGTCATAAATAATATGGATTTTACCGCTGTTTTTTGTTTTATAAGCTTTAGGTAGCAAATGAATATCCCCTCCTTCCTTTCAAACCATCTTAAATTTTTGTTGATTTTCAAAAATCAGTTTCAATTCTTCTTTTGCTTACTTTTAAATTTAAAAAAATATAATTATTCTCCTGTTTCCTTATTTTGAAACAACGGGGTGGGGGGGGGGGGTCTCTTGATTCTCTCCTGCATAAGACTAAGGTAAGTAATGCCCAGAGTGTCCAATTTTATACATTCACATTTTAGTCTGAACCTACAGGTAAGTCTTCTGTGCCTGTCTATGAATTAATTCTATAAACTTGAAACTGACATAATTTACAAAGTTATAATATAATTACATAAATATAATTTATTATAGACTCATGTTTGGCCACTTAGAGAAAACAATATCCTAGCTCATTAGTTTTAGTACTTTGAATAAAAGTGTTACAAGTGTCAAGGTTAAATGAATTATCTTTCCTGACATTTACTATTACTAAAACTTATAATGTATCTTAGATTTCAACATATTTTGATCATTATCTTTCATCTACAGCTATTTGTTTTCCTAGTGTTTATAATCATCTCACGTTTATCTCAGTTTACGAAAGAAAGATATGCCTGTTTTTAATTTCTAGGCCTTTATATTGCTGCTATTCTGTGATTCCATTACACTCCTGTTTCACTGTTTCTTTTTTCAGACTTTACTGAGATATAAGTCATATGCCATAAAACTTACCCATTTAAAGTATACAACTGAGTAGTTTTAGTATATTTACAAATATATTGCATCACTACAATCAAATTTAAGATATTTGCATCACCCCTAAAAGCAGCTCTGAACCCATTAGCAGTCACTCCCTACACCCTAGCCCATCTACCCTTAGGCAAGCTCAAACCTATTTTCTGTCTTTCTAGGTTTGCCAATTCTAAATATTTCATCAAATGAAATCATATATTATGTAATATGTTCTCTTGTAACTACCTTCTTTTATTTAGCCCACGTTTTCAATGTTCATCCATGTCGTAGCATGCATCAGTATTTCATTTCTTTTTATTGTTATATAATGTCCCATTGTATGGCTATTCACTTATTTGTATCCATTCATCAGTCAATGGACATTGCTTATTTTCCCACTTATTGGCTATTATGAATAATGCTGTTTTGAATATTCACATACAAGTTTTGTGAACATACCTTTTTATTTATTTCGGGTATATACCTTGTAGCGAAGTTGCTGGGTCAAATAATAACTCTATGCTTAAGATTCTGGGAAACTGCCAAACTCTTTTCCAAAGTGGCTGCACCATTTTACATTCCCATATATGGAAGTGTAATGTGTGGCTCCAATTTCTCCACATCTCTACTCACATTTTTTATTGTCTTTTGTATTTTAAGTGCCTGTCTTCTTAATTTTAGCCATCCTCATAAATGCAAAGTGGTATCTCTTTGTATCTCTTATTTTGATATGTATTTCCCTAATGAATAATGATGTTGATCATCTTTTTCCTGTGTTTCTAGATCATTTGATCATTTGTACATCTTCTTTAAAAAAATGTATATCCTGGTCTTTTCACCGTTTTTAAGTTAGTTGTCTTTTTATTAGTGAGTTGTAAGAGTTTTTCATATATTCTGAATACTAATCTTTCGTCATTAGTTATGTGATTTAAAAACATTTTCCACCATTCTTTGGGACTTTATACTTCCTTGATTGTGTCCTTTGAAGCACTAAAATTTTAATTTTGATGAAGTATAATTTACCTATGTTTTATTTTGTTGCTTGAACTTTTCTTATTATATCTAAGAAGCTATTACTTAACTCAAGGTAAAGAAGATTGTTTCATTTGCTTTCTTCTAAGAGTTTTATAGTTTTAGCTTTTATTGAGATTGAAACATTTTTGAGGTAATTTTTGTGGATGGTGGGGGAAAGAGGTTCAACTTCATTCTTTTGCATGTGAATATCTTGTTGTCCCAGCTTAATTTGTTGAAAAGATTATTCTCCCCTATTGAATTATCTTGGCATTCTTGTTGAAAATCAATTAACCATAAATGTATATGTTTACTTCAGGACTCCCAATTCTGCTTCATCAATTTATATGCCTATCCTTATGTCAGTGGCACAGTGTCTTGCTTATTGTAGCTGTCTAGTAAATTTGAGGTAGGAAACTATGAGTGCTCCAAATTTGTTCTTCTTTTCAAGATTGTTTTGGATATTCTGGCTCCTCTGTGTTTCTATACACATTTTAGAATTAGCTTGTCAATTTCTGCAAAAAAAAAATCAGCTGGTATTTTGATAGAAATTGTGTTAAATCTGTAGAGAAATCTGATATTAAGTCTTCCAATCCATAAATATTGGGGTTCTTTTCTTTTGTTAGATATTCTTCATTTTCTTCCATCAATGTTTTATAGTTTTCGAAACTGCAATATTGTACCTTCTGTTAAATCCATTCTTAAGTATTTTTTTGATGCTATTGTCAATGAAATTGTTTCCTTACTTTCATTTTTGGATTGTTCATTGCCAGTGTAGAAATGGTGAGAATAGATATACTTGTTTTGTTCTTGATCTTATGAGAAAAGTATTCAGTCTTTCACCATTCAGTATGAAACTAGCTGTGGGTTTTTCATAGATGGCCTTTATCAGATTGAGTAAATTTCCTTTGATTCCTAGCTTTGTCTCATTTTGATATCAGGGTAATACAGGCCTCAGAGAGTGATTTGAGAAGTGTTCCCTCCATTTCTATGTTTTGGAATACCTTATGAAGAATTGGCCTTAATTCTTTAAATGTTGGGTAGAAATTACCAATGAAGCCATCTGGGCATCAAGCTTTGTGGGCAGTTTTAAAATTACTGAGTCAATCTCTTTATTGGTTATATGATATTTATCATTCTGGGGGTAAGACTCAAGACTAAGCAACTCCATCTGAAACCAGTTTTTCTGCACCACAAACTTTCCAAGAGCTGTGTCCCTTAGATAGCTCCCTGGCTGTGTTTGTCTCATTGATCTGGAGCCTGATTTCATGCTTGTTTGCACAGCAATACATTTTATTACTAGACAGCCATACTTTAGAACCACACACGCCTATGTCAGCTACTTCTTGTAACTTCTATCCATTTGCCTGTTATTTTAAGTGTTATTGTAAGGAGATCATGACTTGATGGTAGAAGAATCAGCTGAAGGTGCATGATGAGTTTTCCGTTTTGATTGAAGAGTTTTGGTGAATATGGGTAAAACCCCTAAGCTTAAATAGTTATTAAGGCCACAACTAATTATTAATATGTATTCAAAAGACTGAAAATAGTCTATTCTGGAATCTAGTCCAAAATACTCCACCAAAATATAACTCTTTTGGTGGAAATTTCCAGCAGAAAAACAGATGATATCTGGAGATAAATGTTAAGGACATTGGTAGAAGGGGAAGCCTCATGAGTTTTAAGTGTCTGAACATTTAGACAAATGTTGCATTCTAAATCTTTACCTTCAGAGGTATTCAAGCCATGCCAACTTTGTGTAGCAAAATATGCAAGCTGGAATTGAGGATTATGTGACCTGCATTTATTTCTGAATACATGTGTGATAGGCAGAACAGGCAGCACACATGTGTTCATCCACTCTGAACTCATTAACAAAGCAGAAACGTGAGTAAAATATGTCTTTTCCTAGTTTCTGGAATGGAAGAGGGAACAATTAAGCTGTAAGACACTCCAGGGTGGGTATTATGACCTAATAATGACATGCCCTGGTAGTTTGGACTGAGTGCCATTAACTGCCAAGGCACATCATTGCTCGTCTATAATACACACCCTGGAGTGTCTTATCTGGAACATATAAATGTTAATTCCTAAAGAAACTCATTCAGCAAAAGAGGACGCCATTGTTCTAAGAAGAGGAATATGTGAAAATCTCCACTTTGAGTTTAGTTTTTTTGCGGGAGACTGGAACAAACTGATTAAGCATTTACCCAGAAAAAAAGCAGTACAGTTTAACCTGAAAGAACTGGGGCCAGGGAGTCGGGGGTGGGGCTTTGCATTCCAGCCCTGCCAGTTTCCAGTGCTCTTTCCTTGTGCTTGTTGCTCCAACACTCATATTCCCAGCTTTCTCTCTTTTTAAGTAAGGCTGGTGATTCAACCAGTTTGTTTTATAGCATATGTGGCAAATAAAATAAGATTGAAATGATTTCAAAGTTTTTATCATAAATGATGAGCTGTTTAACAAATATAAAATTGGCCATAATAAATAGGAAACAACGTAACAAGAATTTAAAAACACAAAACCAAGTGCCTGAACGTATTGTTTTAAAGAAGAATTCGATGTGTATAAAGATTTTGGATTGCATTCGTTGTTCAGGGTGGCCTTTGCAATTGGCGCTCACTACCTGTGGTTTGGTTAGTTCTAGTCTTTCTATTGTCATCAAACCTTCCTTCTTGGCAATATACAATAAACAGTTCAGGACCACACAGCCATTTCATGAGTAGAAGTATGGTACAAAATTGCTGTTTCCCTTCCATCTAACCTGTCACCTAAGACCAAAGGTAAATATTTTGATAAAAATAATATCTCTATTTCAACTCTGTGACTCAGTTTCTGTTTTGTCTATTTATCTGAATTTTTGTTTTACTTTGAAGGCATTATCTCATTATTTTGATAATGCTGGCACTTTTAAAGGATTTTAATAAACATTTATCCAACATGGGTACAGATTACAGAACAATGTGCCTATACTTTGTAAGCTGTCCCCATTTTCTTGCTGTGTGGGCTGTGCATGTAGCATGAAAAATATGGCAATGCTTGTTTTGGTCTATACAGCCTTAGTGATACCACTGATAGTAACTAAATCAGCAGCATTAACATCTATGAAGGATAGATGATAATATCTAATGCTTATGTGCACATGATATCAGCACAATAAATAAAATATTTTATATATCTGAATCTCTGATAAATATATTCACAGAAACAAAACTCAGTGGGTTGTCCATTGTTTGCAATTGAGGCGTCTGTGAAATATATAAAACAGATGTTATGTTAACAGATGAGAATCTTTCTTGGTAGAAAACATGGTTTTGCCAACTGGGGATAATAAAACAACTTTTTTTTTTGGTTTTTGTTTTCCTGTGGGTCAGTTGACTTCCCCACCCATGAGCAAAGCATGCACCCCTCCTTCTACCCAGCTATTTTGCAAATTCTTAACTATGGAAACAGTATGAGGTGGTCTGAATGGACCAGTGGAAATTTACCACCACCACTAAAAACAAAGCAAAACAAAAAATTCAAAAAAGAAAAAACAAACAAACAAGTAAAATAACCAAACAACTTAGCTCATCGGTATCACTTTCATGAGGTTTTTTTCTTTCATCTACCTACGCCTACTAGGTTCAGAGAGCAAGGGGATAAAAGGAGGGCGAGCTGATACATAAAACCTAAATCAAGTAGGAAAGAGGAATTGTCAAATGAGGAAACAGCTAAGTACTGTAAGGTTAGGTGGGGGAATGCCTCACAAAGAAATGAGACGCAAGATATTTGGGAAGAAGCATATGATTTACAGAAAGAGAAAAGAGGTTGTTTTTGTTTGTTTATTTGTTTGTTGTTTTGGTGGGTTCTTTTTCCTCTGTTGGACAATCAATATAAACTAAGATGTAGAAGGATTTAGTAACTGTATTTGACTAAAGCAGAGGAGTTTTGAGGAACAAAGAATGGCCAGAGAAGAACGGTGGGACAAAATGAAAACTTTTGTTTTTTCTTAAATGTTCTGCATGAAAACGTAGGTGAGACAATGTGACTGAGAAAAACATAAATGTGAAACAGCATGCTGCTTACTCTCTAGGACTTGGCCATGTACTGGAGATGAGCTAAGCATACTACAAAAACCTTTAACATAATACAAGTTAGGTGAATGCTATAGAGGTTGGGAAGAACAGGAATTAACTGGTGGTTTTGAGGCTCCCTGGAGGGCAGAATAGGAGTGATGTCATGGAATGGAGCCACTATAAGGAAGGCTTCAAAAAAGGGGAAGCTCTATCTCAGGATCAAGTTGCTATCCTGGCAGATCAGCAAAAATGAGGCATGACAATGGACTGATACAATGAAAGAAGCAGCAGGGGACGTTCTGGTCGAGAGGCTGGAAATGTCAGGCAGAAATATCCAAGACACAGTGACAGAGGACCTTCTCAGATCCCTGTAGCATGAGCTCAGGAGACGGCACCCTATAAAGCCGTCAGTGGGCAATTGGCACTAGGGAAGCCTTATAGGGAGGGGGGCATGGAGCAGAATCAGAAGGGCCTTTTAGACTGAAGTGGGGCGATGGTTAACTTTACGTGTCAGCTTGTCTGGGCTAAGGGATGCCCAGATAACTGGCAAAGTATTATTTCTGGATGTGTCTGTGAGGTGTCTCCAGAAAAGATGAGCATTTGACTCAGTAGGCAGAGTAAAGAAGAAGCCCCCTTCACCAATATTGAAAGGCATCAGAATAAAAAGGCCATGGAAGGGTAAATTTTCTCTCCTCTTGAGCTGGAGTATTCATCTTCTGCCCTCAAACATCAGAGCTCTTGGTTCTCGGGCCTTTGGACTCCAGGACTTACACCAATACCCCTTCCTCCTAGGACCCCCTACCCTGGCTCATTTCTCAGCCTTTCCTTCTTGGACTGAGAGCTACACTATCTGTCTCCCTGACTCTTAGGTCTTCAAACTCAGACTGAATTACACCACTGGCTTTCCTGTTTTCCACCTTGAAACAGCATACAGTGGGACTTCTCGGCTTCCGTAATTGTATGAATCAATTCCTATAACAGGTCTTTTCTTACATATCAATGTATATCCTATTTGTTCTGTTTTTCTGGAGAACCCTGACTAATACAGGTGAGTTATAATACTAAAAGTATTTTAAAGTTGGAAACATAAAGCAGAAATTCAATTATTAAGACTATGATAGACCTTGAACAGGCTGGATTTTTAAATCTAATCTTTACTTTGATTTTGCTGTGATGCTCAAAGTTGAGGAGGGTCAGAGATCAGTGAGGTGATGGACAGATGGAATGAGGCTTAAGGATGGGCTGGAAGTATCTGTGAAACACTCTTTCTTGATAATTGAAATGCACCTAAAATTTAACAATTTGTTTTTCTAGGTCAGGTAAATACATCCCTATCAAAATAATCATATTAAAATACCAGGTACCCAGCATGGGACCATAGCAGAAGCACTGTTATTACAGCTGAAATAAAGGTTTATGGCTAAAATAGCAGCAATGCTGACTTAATCCTGAATCTCAGAGTGTTAGCTGGATTAACTTAAATCCCTCCTGCCTAGGTAAAATGTTCCTACACACAGAAGCAAAGCGAAGGCTCCAGGTGGGATCCAACCCAAAAGCTTCAGATCTAAGCCATCAGTAGCTATGGTTTCAGGTAAATAACCCAGCACTCAGACAGAACCTGAGAAAGAAGCATTGAGGAGAGGTCTTGATTCAAGAATAGTTAGAATTAATCTCCCCCAAAAAAATCTATAACAAAAAATACAAAAATAAATAAAAACTTGAATGTACACATTAGCATCTCTATAGAGTACAACTTTTAGGTTTTAAGGCGATACAAGAAAGCACAAAGACTATAGCAACAGTTTCTATTACAATTTTTGTGTCTTCTAAAGCAATGTTCACTAGAATAAATGGAAAATATTTACTTTAACTATGGTTAATACTCATAAGTCTACAAAGAGCTCATCTGGATTGATAAAAATGTGGTAAGTAAATGTATATTTATCAAAAGATAAATATACATTTACTTACAGCACAAATACATATTGAATACTCTCTATGTACTGCAACAGTGCTGAACTGTACTATAGAGTGGAGAGAAGACTGACATGGCCCATGACCTTTTGAAATTTACAAATTCAGCCAGAAAATAATGTGAACAGACAATTTATTAATACATAAGAAGAAAATGCAATACTTAAAATTTAAGCATTACATTTCCTAACACATGTACTAAAAATATGAAAAAATAATATATTAGTGAGGTATAGTTCTGTTTTGAGTCAGCAAGTTTGTAGTAAAAATAGTACACTCATATACATTATTGGTGGCAGTATAAATCGGTATAAACTTTTTGGAAAATAATTTGTCAGTGTACATCAAAAAGCCATAAAAATTTTATATCTTTGGCCTAGTAAAATCCACTCCTGGAAAGTTATCCAAAGGTAATAAACCCCAAACAGAATGTTATACATGGAGCTATTAATTGCAGCATTATTTATAATAGCTAAAATTTGCAGTACTATTTATAATAGCTAAAAATTAGAAACACCCAGAATGGCCATCGATAGAAAAATGTTTACCTGAATTATGGCACAGCTGCTGTATGGAAAATTATGCAACTATTAAAAATGAAAATTATGTAGCTAAATGGAAAGGGCTTATAATGAGAATGCAAAAATATACATAAAATTGACTGCATTTATGAAAATACATATGCATATGTAAAAGTAAAAGTTCTACATAAAAATTGAAATAATTGTGCTGGGAAATAGGATTATGTAGTTTTATCTCTTCTGTTATTCTTTCAGTAAATGAAAATAGACAGAGATTCAATAGGAAATGTGAAAGAGTAGGGCAAATCAGATAAAAGACATACGGGCTCATTCACGTGATGTAAGAACAATTCTAGTTTGGCTCAATCGTACGCTACAAACAGAAAAACAGAATAAAATAATTTATAATGCTAAGTGGGTTTGAATTATTGAGAACCTTCCGACTCTATCTAAGGAATTTTGACACCATTACAGAGACAATTAACCAAAAGTATATGATTCTGTGAAAGCGAATAACAGGATGAGAACTGTGAAACAGAAAGGTTAATTTAAGAAGTGCTGAAGGAAGAATTGAAGAAGAAATAAAATGGAGACTCAGAGACTAGGCAAAAGGGCATTGCAGTAATTTAGATGATTGTGATCAGGAAGTGGCTATGGGAGGTGAACGACTGAGATAAATCTGAGATGAAATATAAAGGAATTGACAAGCTAGGTCATAACTGGACATGGGCTTTTATTAATGGCAAAAACCACAATTGCTTTTGCACCAACCTAATAAAAGTGTGTATAAGGAGAAAGATGGTGGCATTAACAGATACAGAAATTGGGAACAAATACAGATTCACCAGTTTCCAGGACATAGTGTTAGAATATACAGCTCAATCATGTTTCAGCCACTGAACTGTGGCATTTAAAACAGACTAAGCAGAGATGCACTGGGTAAAAAGGGAGTCAGAGTGCAAACAGTGGTGCCGCTTACTTGCCTCCTCATAGGCATCCTTGAATCACATCAGAAACTTTCAAATCATGGTGTGTCTTTCTTCCACAAATGCACAATGGAAATGCCTGTATTTTTGATAACTTTGGCTCAAAGATTCTTTCTATTGCTTCTTTTAATATGACATCTCAGCTTCCATGATTTCCGGCAAGTCTCCTTCCCTTTCTCCCTTAGAATAAACACTGCTTATCTTTCAATGTTTTGATCCATCCATTAGTTCCACATAAGCTAAATGATGTGCTTGTGGGATCTAATCTCAGTATGCCAGAAGCGGGTCTCCCAGACCTACTGAGTCATAATCTTTGAGGAAGAGGTTTGTCATGTGGCCAGACATGTGCCAGAAACGACTAGCCTAGCCCTCTTTCTCATTTTACAGAAAAGAAAATCAAGGCCAAAAGATCACTGGCCAAACTCAGGTTTCCTGGCTCCTAGTCCAGTGCTCTTCCCATTACACCAGTAAACACCCTTAAAATCTCTGCCGCTAGGAATTGAAATAAACAAAGTGTACTTGGGAAGTATTTGCTTTTTTTTTCCTTTAACAATAACAAACACCACCACACAGTTACTCATAAAATGTTAATTGCATTCCTTTCCCAATAACATCCTGATTTTCAGTTTAAACTATTAGCTTGAAGCATTAGACATTTCAATAATAAAAAGTGATTCTCTTTTCCATACACCTTCAATTTTTTATTTCTTATAAATATTCAATTGAATATTTCCATTTGTGGTGTATGTTTGCTAATTTACTGGAAGTTGATTCTGTTCCCCAGAAATGTCACTTGGGTGACCCTGCTGGGCTGAAATGGAAAGTCTAAGCACTGATTTTTGAACTCTTAGTTCTGTGTAGGATTCAACAGCTGTTTGCTTTCTCTAGGGCACTTGAAAATAACTCCAGTTCCAAGAGTATTTAGAAAGATTCCACTTTGAAAATAGAAGCTTTCCTTAAGGTAGGATTCATATTTTTTAAATGTAAAGAATTCAACTCTGATGAGATGATTACCTATAATTCATATTTTACTGGTTACACAGCATGGAGCAGTCTTTCATCAAATAAAGCTATAGCATGTTGACAGATTAAAAACCTAACATAGGCACTGTACTTTCCTAGTTGATTCTACAAGGACTTGACCAATAGAGTATTTGCAAGAAATTTTGTCGAAGACCTACTTGTACTTACTCACCACATCTCTGTGAACTGTCAGATAGGAATTAGAGAGTTCCTTGTTGCTGAGGAAGAAAACAGAGTCTTATTTTTATATGTAAATGACTGAACAATCAATCAGTAGCTATTTTGAGTACAGGGAAGATACTTCACACCCTTCAATAGAGAGGTGGAAGAGTCTGCTAAAAATTTAGGAACTAGGATCTCAGGAGGCCTGCAATGAATAAGAACAGATTTCATCTGCTCTAGCAGATAAACCTACTGGAAAAACAACTTACAGTTCTCTTAAAGTTCACTCAGTGGATAGGCAAAGGTAAATCTGTGAATCATTGGATTGCCTCATAATCTATTTAAGAAATTAATAGAAGATTTGGGGGTGTATTTACACCCCCAAATTGCCTTGGAGCCCAGGATATTTTGGTTAAAGATTAATTCACACCTATTGGTCTTTCTGAGACAGACAGGCTGGCTGATTTCCTGTTTTGAGGTGGTTTCGAGAAAAAGAACAAAAGCCCCTTATTCATGCTGCACCTTACCTAACTTCCAGCTGATTAACAACAAGACCCAAGAAGTTATTAACCACCACGAGTTCCTACTTCAGGGGGCTAGGGCCTACCATGAAGTTCTGCGTGTGCAGTTAGACTTAAACTTTAACTTATAGTTACCCTTGCCTCATTTTAATGCTAAAAATCATGCCCAGCAGTGGAGATTTAAAATGCTCATGTTATTTGTGATGTATGAAGAAGCATGTAAAACCACTGCACAAGCTCTAGACAAACCCCTCCTATTCAGGCTCTGACAAAATCCTTTTCTATAGAAAGTCCCTGTAAAACTAACCCACATACTGCCCTTGGGGAGCAACCCACCTTTTCCTTTTGCAGTGCTGACTTCCTTGCACACAAGCTAAAATAAATTTTTCTCTTTCTTTTTGGCTGCTATGTCTGGTGATCCCTCTTGATTTCTCTCCTTGGAGATTACAAGAACTCAGGGCACCAATAACATCTCTTTTGCCACGGATTCAGCATTTCTGAAATTTCAGGGGCCCTTAGTCCTCTTGATATCATCAGGTGTCCAGGGGTAGCAGGCCTGGCACAGCTCCAGCCATCGCAAAGTCACACCGAGAGGTGAAGTGAGCAGAGTCCAAGAGCAAATGGGATGGTGCACCAGCTAACCAGCCCTCTGTGGGAGTGTCCGGTTTCTATTCATCTTCCATCAGGGCTTCAGCATTCTAGGGAAGATACAAACAAGATCCGAGTCAGCTGAGGAACACAAATGAATGTAGAGCTAGTAAGGTGACCCAGGTTTCAAAATCACACATGGGCTGAAGCTGCCAGTGAGATTCAACTTGGCCTTTTAGGGGAAAGGATGGTGCCACAGATTTGTACTCAGAAAAATTCTGTAGGAGGTTCTGATATGGCAACCCCAAACTTCTCCCCCACCTCCCATACACTCATTTATCTACTTTTAAAAAGATGATTTTTTTCAGGTGAAATTTATTCTTTAAAATCTTTATCTTGATAGGAGAATACATAATCTGTTTTTCCTTGTTGCTTAGAACATTAATATATTAAAACAGGAAAGTCTCTGTTATGACTAAGAAAAGTATATATTTCCTCATAAGTCAGTCCATCAGTACTAACTAGTGATTTATCATAAAGGACTTAAGACCATGGTCCTCAACTGCCACTACACCCTAGAATTACCTGGGGGTCAGAAACTCTTGGGGTGAACCTCAGGCATAGGACATTGTTTTTCAGAAATACCTAGATAGTTCTGTTATGCAGGCAGAGTTGAGATCCTCAATAAATAGGTTTGGTTTTCTGATTTTCTGTATTTTCATTTTGTCTTGAGTGATTTGTCTTTATTGTGGTGTAGCATTTAGAATTCAATTTTTCACTCCAATTTATTAAATTCAGGAAAGTAGAATGTGGAGGGTGGGTGGCTAGGAGGGTGTGTCCTTATTCTGCTCAGATGATTCATTGCTGTTATTTAGTCCCTGCATAATCTGTGGTCACCATCGGACATTTCTGCCTTCACAGCATATCCTATGTCCTGTTTCTTCTCATAGTCACTGCCACCTCATTTTCAAGAATATGATTGTGACATAATAAATAAAGTTCAGCTGAACATGCTCAGATGACCGGCATCTGGGCGAGGGAGAATTTCCACTTCTGTTTCCATCTTTCTCAAACTGTGTGTTTACTACATGCTCCAGTTCTTTTCTTCCCAACAATTGTGTTTTTATTAAGAAAATAAGTTCTGCTTTCTGTGAGAAAAATATTTGCTGGATGAAATCAGTGAAATTCACCTTAAAGAGCAGAATGAATGACTTAGCTGTAACTTAATTCAAATACTGTCTAAGGAGAAGTGTGCCCTGTTTCCGCTGCTCGGCATATCCTGATTGCAGAAACAGATGCATAAGGGTTTTTAGAGTCTATTGTAAGTTTCATCATTGTTAATAATTATTGTTCATTTATCATTCTGTAAACTATGATTCAGTATTTTCCTGAAAGCTGCTCTTGCTGGTTGATACTTTTGTCAGCCTCAGCTCTAGGTGCTAAGAGCACAGCACTTAGCAATAGTGAGGAGGCAACATGAACCAAATTCAAATATAAAATGAAGCTAAATCGAGAGCTTTCTGCAGAGGACCAGATGCTCTCTGCAGGTCAGGGAAGCTTTCTTCACAGAAGAGTCTGCGTGGAGCTGGATTGTTGCAACAAAGTTGAGCCAATGTAGGACAATGGCTGATGTGGACAATGATGTAGGACAATGATGATGGTGATGGTCACTATCTTCATGTCACCGTGACACCATCGCTGCCACTGTTAGTGGTGCCTTTGCAAGGCTGCAGGAGTGCTTACCCTCTCTGCACTGCACCAAACATGTTACTCACTCAACCTAATTATTTCCCCAAAACAAATGTGTCCAAGGAGATATTGTTAGCCATACTTAACCGACGGGGACACTGAGGCTCAGAGGGGAAAATGAGCTCAGAGTCACACCGCTGGTGAGCTGCTGAGGCAAGATTTAAGCCCAGGTGTGCCTGACGCGGGAGCCCGTGCTCTTCATCACTGCCCTGTGCGCTCCAGCGCATTTATCTTGCACACGCTGGGATTTTATTGCAGATTTCTTCGGGGGATAAACGTGATAAATTACAATATTTGAGATCTGCTGAAACATTTGTTACAGTGTTTTAACTGAAGCTCTCAGGAAGCGTTTTCCATCTTGTTTTGGAACAGACTCGCAGATTCTGAGTTAAAAACGGTCGTCTTCCTTCTGAACGCCACTCCATCACGTGCGAGGCAGTCAAGGTTTCCTATAGCCAGATCCGAAAGATGAAGTTCTAATGAATTCTCTTAAGAGAGCGTTGGAAATTTGTCCTTTCGAGCTCTGCATATGTCACAGAATTCAGCATACTTAATTGGAATTAGAAAGCTGGATAGACTACAAAGTAGATGGCATTTACAATGGCTGGGTTATATATCTGCCATTTTATTGAGGCGGAATTCAAAAGCTATCATGGCAGATCATCTTTCTTTTCCGTCTTTCTCATTCTTACAGCTACATTTC
Organism: Homo sapiens; assembly: GCF_000001405.40. Taxonomy (NCBI): domain Eukaryota; kingdom Metazoa; phylum Chordata; class Mammalia; order Primates; family Hominidae; genus Homo; species Homo sapiens. The sequence continues at coordinate 155,879,602 of NC_000006.12, read as the reverse complement.
TTAGAGACAGTCTTTTAAAAAGCACTGTACATTTTGTTTCATTCTGCCCTGAGCCCTAGTTGCAAGTACCACATGGTGCCTCTCCCTGTGATAATCTGTAGGTCCTCCCCTCGATTTACCTCTCTCTCTGGATTTCTGAACACTAAAGCCCTTCACATTGCAGTTTTTGCTTATTTGTGTTTTGTTTCATTCTACCCTTGTAATTTTTTTTTTTTTTTTTTTGAGACGGAATCTCACTCTCCCCAGGCTGGAGTGCAGTGCTGCAAGCTCTGCCTCCTGGGTTCACGCCATTCTCCTGCCTCAGCCTCAACCTCCCGAGTAGCTGGGACTACAGGCGCTCGCCACCATGCCCGGCTAATTTTTTTTTTTTTTTTTGTATTTTTTTTTTTTTTTTAGCAGACACGGAGTTTCACTGTGTTAGCTGGGATGGTCTCGATTTCCTGACCTCGTGATCCTCCGGCCTCGGCCTCCTAAAGTGCTGGGATTACAGGCGTGAGCCACTGCGCCCGGCCTACCCTTGTAATCTTTATATACCTTGGCATTTCTTTCTTCTTATTCTTTGGACCTCTGGTTTCTGTTGTGTTTTACACCCTTTTGTTGTTTTATCCTCATACATAAAATTACACAAGGCTGGGTGCAATGCCTCACGCCTGTAATCCCAGCACTTTGGGAGACCGAGGCAGGTGGATCATGAGGTCAGGAGATTGACACCATCCTGGCTAACACGGTGAAACCCCGTCTCTACTAAAAATACAAAAAAATTAGCCGGGCATGGTGGCGGGCGCCTGTAGTCCCAGCTACTCAGGAGGCTGAGGCAGGAGAACGTCGTGAACCCGGGAGGCGGAGCTTGCAGTGAGCCGAGATCACGTCACTGCACTCCAGCCTGGGCGACAGCGTGACATTCCATCTCAAAAAAAAAAAAAAAGAAATTCTATCATTCTAGAAACCAAAAGCATGTCAAAATAGATACTTACAAAGATATATAGATGGGGAAAGTATATGAAAAGGCAATTGGATAGATAAATAAAAGATGACGAGATCGTACTATAAAAACAATGTTAGCTGGGTGCGGTGGCTCACGCCTGTAATCCCACCCCTTTGGGAGGCCAAGGCGGGCGGATCACAAGGTCAGGAGATCGAGACCATCCTGGCTAACACAGTGAAACCCCATCTCTACTAAAAATACAAAAAAATTAGCCGGGCGTGGTGGCGGGCGCCTGTAGTCCCAGCTACTCGGGAGGCTGAGGCAGGACAATGGCGTGAATCCGGGGGGCGGAGCTTGCAGTGAGCCGAGATCGCGCCACTGCACTCCAGCCTGGGCGACAGAGAGAGACTCCGTCTCAAAACAAACAAACAAACGAAAAAAACACAAAAAAACAAAAAAGTACACTATCCCCCTGATCACTTGTGGCTCCCTTTTCACTGTGAATTTCATATTCTGAACAGTCAAGGGTTATTTGAAGATGCCTGGGCTCTGAGCCCCAGGAAAGCAGTGACCATGATTTTGCTCAGCATTGAGTGCTGGTGCCTGACTTCAACTCCTATCTCAGAAACAGGGTTTACATATGAAACAATGTCGTTTTCATGGTAACTCATCATCACAAAGTGCTTTAGGAAATTACAAAAGAGGGATTCTAAAATTGTTTTTGAAAAATTGGAGTATTACTGGAAGAAACGTTTAGTCTTTAGCCAAACTACCTTAAAAAGGATGTCATTTGCTTTAGATGTAGAAGTTTTGGCAAAAGTAGTTTTTGAGCAGCAAACTGTTTGAAACAACCTGTTTAAAAACATTTATCAGACTTATGTAATTTGGGTATGAGAAAGGCTTTCTTTTAAATGTTATTTTTAAGTCTAAAATGCAATTGAATATATAGCAAAGTACAGAAAATAATATATCAGGCGTTCACATATTTACCATACAGGATTTAAGAGATATTAGCATATTTCCTTCAAATTGGTATTTTTTAAAAGAAATAAAATGTTCTGTGTAGCTATAGCTCCATCTAATTCTTTTATTTTCAGAGGATGCTAGTATTTTGAAGCTGAAAAGGATATCCTCTTTTATATTTTATACTTTAGTTTTTGTATGTCATATATGGGGGTATTGTACTATTTTGTCCGAAAATTTTATAAAAATAGCATCATACTCTTTTTTACAACTTAATTTTTCATTCAGTTTTCTGAGTATTTAGCCATGTTGATGTATGCAAATATAGTTCATTTATTTTAATTGTGTATGTATTTCATTTCGTGAATAAACCAGTTTATCCACTTAATTTTCAGTTTTTCAATGCTACAAATAATGCTGTAATGAAAATCTTGTATATTTTATGGATTTATTTATTCAATTACTTATTAATGTTCGCATCCAAGTTTTCTAAGATACTTTTCCTTGGTCCCCAAATATGTATATATTTAACTTTACAAGATTCCTCTTGTTTTATTCATATGTTTCCTTTCTCTATTTTTTAAGTTTTTTTCATTTAATTTACTCTAGGAATTATGTTAACATTTTTAATTGGTTAGCTTGGATTAACAAATTTAAATTTAATCATCAGTGTATCTTCCGTCATCTTTCTGAACAGTAAAAAGACTTCAGAAAACTTTCATTCCATATACTTTTCTTCATCTTAAAATGTCATTACTTGAGATTTTAGTTCTATTCTTCTTTTCAACTTTCAAAAGTAATCATCATTATTATTGTTTTAATGTTTAAAAAATATTTATTCACATGCATACCAATTTTCTTAGCTCAATTTTTATGGAATACTACTCCTTTATTCTGCATTTCTTTACTTCTGGAGAACATCAGGCAGTAAAATCTCCCATTGTTTGCCTAAAAAACATTTTAACCCCACACTTGAATAATAGTTTTACTAAATATAAAATCTAGTTTCTATCAAAGCTTTGAATATATGATCCTATTATCTTTAAATTTATGTTGTTTCTGTTGACAAGTTTGCTGTTACTCTATTGTTTATGCCTTTGATGTTAAATTATTTTATATCAGGTTATTTCAAATATTTTGTCTTTTACACTTTCAAGATTTATTTATTTTTTATTCTGCTCAGGATGAATTATGAGTTTTCAGTTGGATGATTCATATTTTCATCAATTCTGGAAAATTTTCAGCATTATATCTTTGAATTTTCTTCTCACACATTTTTATTACTGCCTCCTTATAAACATATGTTTGCCAGATTTTGGACTTTTTATTCTATTCTATCTATCTTTTGTGTCCCTTAACCCATCTTCAATATTTTCTGTATTTTTTCCTTCTGTCCTGGGTTCTGGGTAATTACTTCAGATTTATCTTTCAGTTCTAAAACTATTCCTTCAGCTGTATCTAATCTGTTGTTTAATTTATCTACTGAATTGCCAATTCTTTACATTTTTCTGGTGGGAGTTTAAGTTGATATGATTTCCCTGCCAGGCAATGTTGTAATATATAGTGAAAAACCTCAACAGTTTTCAACTCTTTAAATTATACAAATAATATTTTTAGAAATTATTCTAAAGAACTTATTGTATAATTTACTCATGTGTTATTACAACAGCAGTATTTATTTATTTCAGTGTTCTTTACTGCATAAAATGGAAATGACTATAAGTAAGGGAATGGTGAATAAGTTATTCATTATCCATAAGATAAATACCATTCAGGCAATAATGTTACAAAGAATATGGGAAATATTGAATATATTTTAAATAAGAAAAAGCATGTTATTAAGAAATATGCATAACATAAACAAAATTTTTTGTGTGAAATAAAGACAATGTATTACCAAAGAAAAAAATACTACCACTATAATTCAAGTCAACATGCTAACTCTGTTCATTTCTGTTAGATGGAATTAAGAATGATTTTTATATTGTCTTTTTTTTACATAATTATTCCATTTTTCTACAATGCCTAAGATTTTTTGTTATAGAAAAACAAATCTATTTTTATAATATTCATCTTTTGACAAGGCACAAAGTAAGTTTTAAACAAAGATAAAATCAAAGAAAGATCGAAAATTTAAAAAGCTAATGTAGTAATTAAAACACTACGTGGTGATTTTAGTGGAAGCAAGGTACTCAATTTGAAATAATGAAAATAAGACTTACTGTAAGGCAGACTTAGTAACTGACTGGGTACGTGGAGAAGGACAAACCAAGAGATTCCAAAGTTTTGTGACTGAGAGAACAGTGATACTAGAAACTGAGAACTATGGAATTGTTATTTCTGGACATATAAAACTAAGAACCAGACCCAGAGGATACCTTACCCCTTAAGGGGCTGCCCTCCTATGAAAATCTGCTTCCTTTCTGATACCACCCATTGGTGGTTAAAAAGGAACATCAAACCATTTGTTCGTTAATTCAGCAAAAGTGTATTAAGTAACAACAATGTGATACACACTATTTGAGATTCTAGGAATTATAGCTAGGAACAAACATTCTAGGATTACTAATAAAATGATCATCTGTCCACAAGATGTTTGACTCTTCTATTTCCAATCTCCTTCTTTCAGTTTCTTCAAAGTACTTTCAAAACCAGCTTCTTAGGGGAGCCTTTCCCTATCAATCATCACCAAAAAACCCACATTAGATTCCATTTCTGATGCCAGTTAATTATAATCAATTGGTAGCTGCTGCCTGAAACTGTGCGATGATGGTATCGGGCTCATTGAGAAATGATGCTATATGTGATTACTGATGCCCGGCAAGGCTCTGGAGAGAGAAGTGTCAGGAAATATACTAGCTATGGTGCATGTCGTCTCATTGTCTTCAGCCAACCATATAGCTCCAGACTGCTTTTACTAATGCATTACACTTTTAAAGCGTGACCTAAAAATATTATATTTCCTACTCACAGAGTACCCATATTAACAGTAATAAAGACATAATACAAGCTGACTGAGTAGTACTTCATTTGTACTTTATTTTCTGATGAATTTAAGAACCAAAACCTCTTAAAATCTATTGTGCCTAGTATTTTGCCTTTTCCTCTGTGAGAATAAAAAGGGATAATGGCTAAAAATCTATACATCATAAAACTGTTCTTTCAATCTGTCAGGTTGTTGTGTTTGGTAGTTGATAGTAAAGGCTTTGATACAGGAGTCCTGGGCATGACCCCAGATTATTCTTTCATTTGTCTCCAGCCTCCTGGGCTTGACCTGATTCCAAAAGGAATGGTGTCACTATTAGAGGCTTTCCAGCCTCCTTCCGGGTAGCAGGCTGCTATTGATTGAGGGTGCCTCCAGGCTGAAAGTCTTAGATAAAATGGCTCTTCTGTGCACACACAGAAGTAAGTGCATGAGCATGTGTGTGCATGCAAATGTGTAGGAAAGAGGGGTTCTGAGATTTTTCTAGGGAATTTTCATAGAAAATAAAACTTGTTTTGCTATTGTACTATAGTTACATCAGATGTAACTATCATGAGAAAAAAAAAATGGAACCTCCTTGCGCTGGCTTTGCAACTTCATGTGAATCTATAATTATTTCTAAATAAAAGTTAATTAATAAATAAATAAGTACTTTTAAAATGTGCTCACATTCAAACCTCTTTCATTCATTTAAATCATTTATTTTATGCATGACCAAATAAGAAACCTATATGAATGGAACAAAAGTATGTTCTCTCAACAGAAGAAAACCAGTTTGCAATGACCTACTACAATAAGATCCTCCTAATACAGGCAGAGAAAATGCATTCCCATATTCTAATTCTATGCTAAAAAAATAAAATGCTTCGAGGGAAGGGTCAGATATTTCAACTATTATTATCATTTTTAATTAATTAACTATAAAACCTGAAAACAAATACTACCTCTAATGTAAAAATGATGTGCCCATTCTTTTTTTTCTAAGAAAGAAAAAAGTCCTTGATTTACATGGAAAGTTCTTAATGATACACCATTTTTTTCTTTTTCATAATTTGAAGAACTTAATACAGCCTGCACTAGCTAGAAAATTCTAAGTAAAAAATTACTTAGAAAATATTTTCTTTGTCTCTGCACTTCAACATGTCTCAAAAAATCTCTTAAAAGTTAAGAAAGTGCTAGTTTATTTCAAAATGTATGTATTTTTTAAAATTTCCGTAGGCCTCAGGATTTTTAATTTCTCATTAGGACTAAAAGTCACCGTTCTCAACTTTCTTTTTGAAGGCACAGGAATTAGAAGTTCTCATGGGATACATTGATTTCTTTGCCTCTCTAATTCAGCACGTCTCAGATATGAGGAAGGGAGTCCAGCTTCTCTTGGAAAGTCACTCGGTGAGGATGAACCCCGCGGGCAGTTGAGGGTCATGAAGACCAAAAGTTAATGGAGGCCGCACTAGGGAGCTTGTGGGTTACCTGGACTGATCAGAAGGTCAGCAGTGAGGGCCTGGCCGGAAGCAGTGGCAGCAACAGGAAGCGAGGTTGAGAGGCAGTGAATGTGGGTTGAATCACTAAACCAGGGGCAAGAAGGGCAGAGACAGAAGAAGTGAAAGGATTCAAGAATCCACTTCAAAGACTGGAGGAGACAAGAAGCAGCAGGAGGGGGCTGTGCTCAAAGATCTTGAATATTTAACTGTGTGCCCAGCCTGCCCCTCTCTGTTCTGACCACAGGGCCTTCTCACATTACATAGCACATTAGCTTTTAACTTTGAGAACAACACACATAAAGATTGAGCAACATTAATAATTAATACAAACAAAATTTGACTACATTTATCTCAATAAAATTAATATTTTTTCCAAATATGTTTAGTGGGAAGTGTTATGTATTAAAATTCTGATGAACCTGGTCTTTCCACTACAACTTAATAGGGTAACGAGAATAGCAAGTGTACCAACGCACCCGGTGGTATGCTTTTATCAGCCAGTGTAGAATTCAGCTAACATCTCCCAAAATTAGCCAGGCACGGTGGTGCACACCTGTAATCCCAGCTATTCGTGAGGCTGAGGCGGTAGAATCGCTTGAATCAGGGAGGCAGAGGTTTCAGTGAGCAGAGATCATGCCACTGCACCCCAGCCTGGGCAACAGAATGAGACTCCATCTCAAAAAAAGAAAAAAAATTCTTGAGCAATGCTGAGAATTCACTTTTCTATGATATTTCTAACACTTTCTGCAGTTATTACTCCAGCAGTACTTGAGATAGTCTTCCTGAAAATGTATTTGCTGATTTATGTTTCCAGCCCCAAACAAATCCATGGAAAAGAAGTGTGCCTCGATAAAATGTGGGTGAGTGCTATAGAATGAATGTGTTCACCCCAAATTCATATATGGAAATCCTTACCTCCAATATGATTGTATTAGGAGGTGAGGCCTTTAGTAGATGATTAAGTCATTCATGAGAGTGGAGCCCTCGTGAAAGGGATTAGTGCCCTTATAAAATAGACCACGATCAGGCATCGGTGGCTCATGCCTATAATGCCAGCACTTTGGGAGGCTGAGGCTGGCAGATCACTTGAGGCCAGGAATTTGAGACCAGCCTGAGCAACACGGTGAAACCCCATCTCTACTGAAAACACAAAAATTAGCTGGGCATGGTGGCATGCGCCTGTAGTCCCAGCTACTCAGGTGGCTGAGGTGGGAGGATGGCTTGAACCCAGGAGGCAGAGGTTGTGATAAGCCGAGATCACACCATAGTGCTCCAGCCTGGGTGACCGAGCAAGACCTTGTCTAGAAAAAAATAAATAAATAGACCACAAAGAGCTCCCTCATTATTTCCACCATGTGAGGAGACAGAGAGAAGACAGCCATCTGTGAACCAAGAAGGCTAGTACCTGACATGAAATCTGCTGGCACCTCAATCTTGCATTCCCCAGTCTCCAGAACTGTGAGCAATGCATTTCTGTTGTCTACCTGCCACCTAGTCTATGGTATTCTGCTACAGCTGCTCAAACAGGCTAAGACAGAGAGCAAGGGGAAGGAGGAAACCAAACCAGAGCAAAGAACCTTTGATCTTACTCTTTGGAACTTCCTAACATCAGGATATTCCCATCCCTGGGAGTAAAGGCCTTAGTGCTAACTAAATTGACCCATATTCTACTATGCTAAGAGGACGTTCTACTTACCCAGGATTGGTCTTTTCCAACAGGGTAGGGCAGTGGGATGTATAAAGTCAAAGATTTTTCACAAGTTTGTAACCTGCAGGACCCACAAGAACCACAGATTCTTTAATTCACCTTAGGCTTCTTAGTTTCAAACATACAGGAGTGCACATCGGTTCACGTTTATTAAAGCAGTACTTCTTGTCTACAAGAAAGAAAAAAAAAGAGGCTTAAAAATAGGCATAACTAGGACAAGTTACTCAGTGAAAACTGCTTTTAAATTTAAAAAAAAAAAAAAAAGCCTAAGCAAAATTTCCCTCAGGGATGTGTCTGTCTCTGCTCTTTGTGGCACCTATAACCTTACTGAGAATTGGCTATTACAGTGGCAGTCTTAAACTTACGAACAAATTGAGTCCTAAATATTTCGTTAATAAAATTTTATTAGAGTAATGTTATAATTGATGCTAACTTCCGACATTAATGCATAAATTTTATTATTTCGTAATGTAGTAGAAGGACTGTCAAACTCAACCAGTTTAAACATTTTGTAATGGAGTGGCCCAGCTGAGACAAAAGTTTATAGTTTTCTTTTGTTCTTTTATCCATTCATCCCTTCATACATTCAATATTTATTAGATGAAACTGACACAGTTCCTATTAAAGAGGTGTGTGGAATAAACCAAGAGAAAAGGCATGCCATTGAAAATAGGATGTGAATAAGGAAACTGGCACAGAGAAGTTAAGTAAATTACCCAACGACACACAGCTAGTGAGGTAGTATGGTATAAGGATTCCAACCCAAACAAATAGATTCCAGAGTTCCTTTTCTTAATCATTATGAATCTACGCACTTCGACTTGATATAACTCTGTGCACCATTATATATTTGTATCTCTTTTAATTTGCTTCCACACCACCTAAAACATTTTAGTCTTCTTGTTAAACCAAATCCACATAATCCATCCACTAGTACAGAGCCACTAACTAAAACTGACACATTAATTATTTTCTTACAGATGGTACGATTTTTAAACAGTTGATATAGTGAACAGTGTATGGGTCTCTAATTGAGTAGATAAGTCTAAACAAAGCTGCAGGACCGCACAGGAAACAGTGAAGCATTCAGAAAGAGCAAATTTAGTGACTTTTGTGTGAGAGTGTGGAAGTAGGATAAAATGTCATTGTCTGAGGAATTAAAACAAAACTCTCCCAACGAGGACACAGCTTGATCAAGTGTAAGACATTCTTAGACCCCAACGTCTAGCTTCATGAATACAGAAATGAAACACCCAGAAGAGCTACAGGGACCAAGAGAAACCAGTGTCGGAGCACAGCAAGGAGAACATTGATGGAGAATATCATGCCAAGATTATTAACGAGTATGTCATATGAGCCAGGAACTATACCTTGCTGAACTCAAGATACATTATATCCATTTTTCTCCTTAATCCAGCACCCTGCCATTCTATGATAGAAGGATTCTGTTAAATCAGTCTAGATCTGTTTGTAACAATGCCAGTGACCTGTTCTGTAGATGTCTTCAAACTGATTTCTGAATGATTTATTACAGTGTCTTTTCAGTCTAGAAATTATTAGCCAGTAATTATTTGGGTTCTCTTTCCCTTGCTTTAAGAAAAAAGAAAGAAGCATTATCATATCTCCTTGGCATACGGCATCAAACAAAGAATTCTTAAAAATGGCAGCTATTAGTCTTGTGATGATATCCAACAATCCTTAGAGTTCCTTGATGGCAAGCCATCAGGGACTGTAGATAGGACAGATTGTGCTTATCTAAATAATATGCCATCTGTTCTTATTGAAGCTGACATGGTTTCCTGCCCCCTCCATCTATAAGCTCTCATTTCTGTTCAATAACGTCTTATTCAGAACTATCAAAGCTCTTCATTAAGATCATCGTTAAGATCAACGATACCTATCGTGCTTCAGCAGTCCTTTCTTGAAGAAATTCCATGATTCCAATTGTTCAACATGAAAACATCAAAGAATGAAATCTTGCATTTGGTTATACTCTAGGAAGCGAATAAGGGAAGAGGAGAGCAAGCAACAAATTAAATAGGAAATGCAGCATTAAAGGTGACTTGATCTTTTTCTCAGAAAAGGAGAGGCACACAACGGAGTAATTTTGAAACACAAAAAAAAGTAAGACCCACTGATGAGTAATACAGAATGAGGTCTTCTTTATTCCAATTATCTGAGCAATAATCTAACAACCAGGAACTGTGTCTCCTGTTCATCACTGATGTTGCCACTGAATAGAGTGTCTTATAAAACCGAAAACTAGGTGTGCTATCAGCATTACAAAGAAGGCCATTTTTGTTTTTAACACTAAAACAAACACCACCTGTCTTTAAAGCACCCCCAATTTTACCCTTTCCCTGCATACCCCAGTTATCCTTTCCCTCACCCTTTTCTCTTTCAAGTGACCTTCTCCTCACTCTCAGAGACTCAGTTTGCCAGTACAGCATGAATGGGTAATGTGTTGATTTACCTTGATATATCTGTAAGTTGTTAGGCTTATGCAAAACCTTAAGTCAAAGAAATGAATGCAGTTAACATTTGCAGAAGCTTAATATGGGATAGTCTTTTTAAAGTACATATATACATCGATGGGCATTTGGCTTGATTCCAAGTCTTTGCTATTGTAAATAGTGCTGCAATAAACATAGACTGGATAAATAAAATGTGGCACATATACACCATGGAATACTATGCAGCCATAAAAAAGAATGCGTTCATGTTCTTTGCAGGGACATGGATGAAGCTGGAAGCCATCATTCTCAGCAAACTAACACAGGAACAGAAAACCAAATACCTCATGTTCTCACTCATAAGTCAGAGTTGAACAATGAGGACACATGGACACAGGGAGGGGAATATCACACACCAGGGCCTGTCGGGGGGTGGAGGTCAAGGGGAGGGAGAGCATTAGGACAAATACCTAATGCATATGGGGCTTAAAACCTAGATGATGGGTTGATAAGTGCAGCAAACCACCATGGCACATGTATACCTATGTAACAAACCTGTACGTTCTGCACATGTATCCCAGAACTTAAAGTAAAATAAAAAATAAAAAAGTACATATATACATCAACTCATTTAATAACAACCCTATGTTATAGACGCAATTGATGACCCTATGTCATAGATGAGAAAACTGATGCCCAGAAAAGTTAAGTAACATGCCCAAACTAGTCACATAGCTAGTCCTCAGTTGGCCTCCCCAAATTCCTGTGCTGAAAATTCTGTAATATATTGCCTTAAGAAAGTTTCTAGAAAAGGCCTTTTATTTGATGTTTTGATCCTTCTAATCTTTAAAAAATTTTACCTCATTAATTCTTTTCATGTCTGGTTTTTATTTCATGCAGAATTTCTAGCAGAATTTCTCAAAATATGGTTGAGTTATATTCAAATAATATTTCTACTATTTACTCTTTCCCATTTATCTTACTTGTGCCACGTGCACGCACACATCATCTTCTTTGGTTCTCATCCCCGCCTGGGGCCATCATGGCCGTAAACCCATGGGGAAAAGTATAGATTTGCTCATGATCTCCAAATAAGTTTTGCTTTTTGATGTGATAAAGTGCACCATCATCTGTCTTCTCCACTGACGTGCTGATAAAGCAGACCCAGCCAGCACAATTACCCATAAATGGTTACTATAGCATAAAGAAATCAGATTCTTAGGTTTAAAAGGCCTTGCCTGTTTGTCATAGTGTCATAGTTAGATTTTCCTCTTGATAAAGAGAATCTTAACATATGACATTTACATAAGAATAATCAGGTAAAAACTTCCATCTGGTTTTATTCTGCCCACATTTACATTAATGCCTTTGACAACGAGTAGCATAATCTTAATTTTCATATGTGCTCTCTGGTTTCAGCAAGTATAGGATTAAGAGCTAGCTGGAAGATTCCCGTGAAAAAGACCTTACCCTCTATTAGCTATTTAGAACTACAGTTTATGAAGAAAAGTGGGATAAATGATCATTCTTTTCTTGTAGGTGTTCGTTTTCAGAGTAAAGAGTTGGTACTCCATTTGATTCTCATTGGTGTACAATTAAGCTCTGTGAGTGGTTTCAAAATTTTTGCTTTCATTCTGTTTTTCTTTATGAACTCACAGGGTTGGGCAGTGATTGTGTTACAATTGTATTCATTACTGATGCTCAAACTATTCCATTTTTGACCAATGAGAGGCCCACCCAAGATTTATTTTTCAAATAGCCCATCACTAACTGAGAGGTGACAGCGTGCCGGCAGTCCTCACAGCCCTTGCTTGCTCTCCGCGCCTCCTCTGCCTGGGCTCCCACTTTGGCGGCACTTGAGGAACACTTCAGCCCACCGCTGCACTGTGGGAGCCCCCTTCTAGGCTGGCCAAGGCCAGAGCCAGCTCCCTCAGCTTGCAGGGAGGTGTGGAGGGAGAGGCGCGAGCGGGAACCCGGGCCGTGCGCGGCGCTTGCGGGCCAACTGGAGTTCTAGGTGGGCGTGGGCTTGGCGGGCCCCGCACTTGGAGCAGCCGGCCGGCCCTGCCGGCCCCGGGCAATGAGGGGCTTAGCAACCGGGCCAGCGGCTGCGGAGGGTGTACTGGGTCCCCCAGCAGTGCCGGCCCACCGGCGCTGTGCTCGGTTTCTCACCCGGCCTTAGCTGCCTTCCCGCGGGGCAGGGCTCGGGACCTGCAGCCCGCCATGCCTGAGCCTCCCACCCCCTCCATGGGCTCCTGTGCGGCCCGAGTCTCCCCGACGAGTGCCACCCCCTGCTCCAGGGCGCCCAGTCCCATCGACCACCTAAGGGCTGAGGAGTGCGAGCACACGGCGAAGGACTGGCGGGCAGCTCCACCTGCAGCCCCGGTGCGGGATCCACTGGGTGAAGCCAGCTGGGCTCCTGAGTCTGGTGGGGACGTGGAGAATCTTTATGTCTAGCTCAGGAATTGTAAATACACCAATCGGCACTCTGTATCTAGCTCAAGGTTTGTAAACACACCAATCAGCACCCTGTGTCTAGCTCAGGGTTTGTGAGTGCACCAATCGACACTCTGTATCTAGCTGCTCTGGTGGGGCCGTGGAGAACCTTTGTGTCCATACTCTGTATCTAACTAATCTGATGGGGACGTGGAGAACCTTTGTATCTAGCTCAGGGATTGTAAATGCACCAATCAGCGCCCTGTCAAAACAGGCCACTCGGCTCTACCAATCAGCAGGATGTGGGTGGGGCCAGAAAAGAGAATAACAGCAGGCTGCCCCAGCCAGCAGTGGCAACCCACTCGGGTCTCCTTCCACACTGTGGAAGCTTTGTTCTTTTGCTCTTTGCAATAAATCTTGCTACTGCTCACTCTTTGGGTCCACACTGCTTTTATGAGCTGTAACACTCACCACGAAGGTCTGCAGCTTCACTCCTGAAGCCAGCGAGACCACGAGCCCACCGGGAGGAAGGAACAACTCCAGACGCACTGCCTTAAGAGCTGTAACACTCACCGCGAAGGTCTGCAGCTTCACTCTTGAGCCAGCAAGACCATGAACCCACCAGAAGGAAGAAACTCTGAATACATCCGAACATCAGAAGGAACAAACTCCAGACGCACCACCTTAAGAGCTGTAACACTCACCTTGAGGGTCCGCGGCTTCATTCTGGAAGTCAATGAGACCAAGAACCCACCAATTCCGGACACATAACTATAAGTCTTTTTGCTTTGGACACAATAAGAGGTCCTAGTCTCATCTTGTATTTTAACTGGCCAAATCTGGTGGGACCAGCCATTTTTCTAAGGAGTCTTGGTTTTTTTAGTAGAAAATTATATTTAGAATTCAAAAATCTTTGCCCTTAGTATGTTAATTACCTTAAGGTTGTCATTTCTTCTAGGCTTCTTCAATAGACAAAACCAGGAAATAAGTACTTTTGAAAAGAAAATAAATTATGAAGTTTTTTAATTAACATTTTCATTTCTAAGTAAATATTATAAAATATACTTCTTTTGGAGTTATAGATTTCTTTGCTCTTATGTTGAAAATTTTTATTCCTAATCACATTAATATAACATCTTTTTTTTTTTTTTCTTTTGGATATGGAGTCTCGCTCTGTTGCCCAGGCTGGAGTGCCGTGGTGCGATCTTGGCTCACTGCAAGCTCTGCCTCCCGGGTTCAGCGATTCTCCTGCCTCAGCCTCCTGAGTAGCTGGGACTACAGGCGCCCGCCACCAAGCCCAGCTAATTTTTTGTAATTTTAGTAGAGATGGGGTTTCACTGTGTTAGACAGGATGGTCTCAATCTCCTGACCTCATGATCCACCCGCCTTGGCCTCCCAAAGTGCTGGGATTACAGACATGAGCCACCACACCCGGCCAATATAACATCTTATTTATATTATGTTATAATATAGATAATTAGATTAAAATAATATTACAACTATTATCATTAAAAATTACACTTCTAAATAAAGTCTAAGATTTTCTTGTATCTATATGTGTCCTTAAAATACATAACTAATAGAGATATACAGACAAAATTGTGTGCTCTAAAGTGACTTGGAATAATTATTTTCTGTGTGATTATAGCATTATAATTATGTCTAATTATGAGATTTGTATCAGTTTTCAGAGATTGCTTTTTTCTTGTGAATTTTTTTAACAGACTAAACTACATAATAGAGAAATTCTGCTTCTTGCCAATTTAGCAAAATTGGGACTGGATTTACTTTCCTCCTGAAACAACTAAAAAACTGGACAAAAATACATAAATCAATGCTTTTTAAGACACCGGATGTCAGGCATTAAAGGGACATTGATCCTTGAGAGACAGAAAAGAAATGAGATGAGCCTATGATTGCCCAAGCTTACCACCTTATGAGAAGAAACCTAGGCAGAGTGTGACAGACTCCCAAGTTGATGAAAAATAGCCATGAATCTGGGAAGACCAATGTGATTTGAGACTGCAGTGCAGACTATGTAAGAGGGGAGAGCTATACAAACACAGAAACCTGAATACCTACAGAGGTTCCTCCTCCAGGTATTCAACACATTAATGCATGAGTGTGAAAACACTATGTAAGACCCAAAAAAGAGCATCCTAAAGCATTAGAGGTAACAGTGCCTGGTGTACACACACAGGGCTTGTTCCCACCAGCCAGACTACAGAACCCCGTAATTCTCTGGGGATTAGAGTACTGGAGGATCTTGCCTGAATTGTTGGGGATAATTAGTTCTAAACTAAACACCAATCTGGCCCTGTCTAATAATCTTAAAAGCAAGACCTAAAAGGATCAAACTGTTTCCAAGTAATTTAACTGTATCCCAGAATAAAACTCAAGAATATTGATAAGAATACAAAGATGTCAAGCTTCCAAAAAGGTAAAAATATCAATCTCTGGCATCTAATAAAAAGTTACCAGGCATGCAAAGAAGTAGGAAAATATAATCTCTGTCAGAGAAAATGCAATCAAAACTGTTACAGAAATGACAAAGATGTTAAAATTAGCAGTTAATGACTTTTAAAAAGATATTTTAATTGTTTTCCACCGTAGGTTTAAAAAGTTATCGGAAGATATAAAAAGGATCCAGATTGAACTACTAGGAATAAAAATTACAAGCTTTGATATTTAAAATATACTGGATGGGATTAATACCAAATTAAACTTTGCAGAAGAAAAGATTAGTGAGTCACATTTATTGATTTGCATATATTGAACCAGCCTTGCATCCCAGAAATGATCATCGTATCATTTCTCCTCCTTGATCATCGTGTATTAACTTTTTGATGTGCTGTGGGATTCAGTTTTCTAGTATTTTTTGAGGATTTTTGTGTGTGCTTATCAGGAATACTGGCCGGATTTTTTTTTTCTTTTTGGTATGTCTCTGCCAGATTTTGGTATCAGACAGATTCTGGTGGGCATAGAATGAATTAGGGAGGAGACCCTCTTCCTCAGTTTTTTGGGAATTATTTCAATGTGATTGGTACAATTTTTTTCTTTGTACATCTAGTAAAATTTGGCTGTGAATCCATCAGGCCCAGGGCTTTTGTTGCTTGGTAGGTTATTTTTTTCTGATTCAATTCTGGAACTATTTGTTGGTTTGTTAAGGTTTTCATGTTTTTCCTGGTTTAATCTGGGGAGACTGTGTATTCCCAGGAATTTATGCATTTTCTCTAGATTTTCTAATTTGTGTGCATAGAGTTGTTCATTATAGTCTCTGAGGAGCTTTTGTATTTCTGTTGGATGGTTTCTAATGTCTTCTTTGTCATTTCTGGTTGAACTTATTTGGATCTTCTCTTTTTTCATTGTTAATCTGGCTAGCAGTCTATTAATCTTGTTTATTCTTTTGAAGAACCAATTATTGGTTGTATAACAGAATTAAAAGCAAAACCATATGATCATCTCAATAGGTGCAGAAAAAGCTTTCAATAAAATGCAACATCCTTTCATGATAAAAGTCCTCAGCAGACTAGGCATCAAAGGAACATACCTCAAAATAATAAGAGCCATCTATGACAGACCTATAGCCAATATCATACTAAAGGGGCAAAAGCTGTAACTATTCCTCTTGACAACAGTAACAAGGCAAGGATGCCTGTTCTCACCACTCCTATTCAACATAGTACTGGAAGTCCTAGCCAGAGCAATCAGGCAACAGAAGAAATTAAAGCCATTCAAATAGGAAGAGAGGAAGTCAAACTATCTTTCCTGGCTAACAATACAATTATATACCTAGAAAACCCAAAAAATTCTGCCAAAAGGCTCCTAGAACTGGTAAACAACTTTAGTGAAGTTTCAGGATATAAAATCAATGTACAAAATTCAGTAGCATTTCTATATACCAACAACATTCAAGCTGAGAGTCAAATCAGGTATACAGTTCCATTGACAATAGCCACCAAAAAATTCAAATATCTAGGAATACAGTTAACCTAGGAGATGAAAGATTCCTGCAAGGAGGACTACAAAATGCTGCTGAAAAAATCAGAGATGACACAAATAAATGGAAAAACATTCCATGATAATGGATTGGAAGAATCAATATTGTTAAAATGGCCATACTGCCCAAATCAATTTATAGATTCAATGATATTTCTATGAAATGACTAACAACATTTTTCACAGAATTAGAAAAAACTATTCTAAAATTATCTAAAATATGGAAGCAAAACAGCCCAAATAGCCAAAGCAATTCTGAACAAAAGAACAAAGCTGGAGGCATCACACTACCTGAATCCAAACTATACTATAAGGCTACAAGAAGCAAAACAGCATGATAGTGGTACAAAAACAGACATATAGACCAACAGAACAGAATTGAGAAACCAGAAATAAAGCTATACAACTACAACCATCTGATTTTCAACAAAGCTGACAAAAACAAGCAGTGGGAAAAAGACTATTCAACAAATGGTGCTGAGACAGCTGGCTAACCATTGCAGAAGAATGAAACTGGACCCCTACCTTTCACCATATACAAAAATTAACTCAAGATTAATTAAAGATTTAATTCACCTTGGAAATATTTAATTCATCCAGGAAATGCCTTTCTTGACATCATTCCTGGCAAGGAATTTTTGGCTGAGTTCCCAAAAGCAATTTCAGTGAGAACAAAAATTGACAAGTAGGAACTAATTAAACTAAAGAACTTCCATACAACAAAAGAAATTGTTAACAGAGTAAACAGACAACATACAGAGAAAATATCACAAACTATGCATCTGACTAAAGTCTAATATCCAGAATCTATAAGGAACTTAAACAACGGAACGAGCAAAAAACAAATAACCTCATTAAAAAGTGGGCAAAGGACATGAACAGACACTTCTCAAAAGAAGGTGCAGGCTGACTCTGGGCACACTGCCTATGAGTTAGCCCTGCTCCACAAAGAACAGTAGTAAAACAATGAAACATAAAGCAGACATACAAGTGGCCAACAGACGTATGAAAACATGCTCCACATCACTAAATATCAGAAAAATGCAAATCAAAACCACAATGAGATACCATTTTACACCTATGAGAATGGCTATTATTGAAAAGTCAAATAATAACAGATGCTGTTGAGGCTATGGAGCAAAAGGAACACTTACATGCTGTAAGTGGGAATGTAAATCAGTTCAGCTACTGTGGAAAGCAGTTTGGAAATTTCTCAAAAAACTTAAAACAGCTCACATTTGACCCAGCAATCCCATTTCTGGGTATATACTCAAAAGGAAATAAGTCTTTCTACCAAAAGACACATACACTCATATGTTCATCACAGTACTATTCACAATAGCAAAGACTTGGAATCAATCTAGGTGCCCAACAATGGTGAATTGGATAAAGGAAATGAGATACATGTACACCATGGAATACTACACAGCCATAAAAAGAATAAAATCATGTATTTTGCAGCAACATAGATGCAGCTGGAGGCCATAGTCCTAAGTGAATTAATGCAGGAATTCAGAAAACCAAATATTACATGTTCTCACTTACAAATGGGAGCTAAACATTGGGTGCTCATGGATAGAAAGATGGGAATAATAGCTACTGTGGACTACTAAAGGAGAGAGGGAAGGAGGGGGATGCAGGTTGAAAAACTACCTGCTGGGTACTAGGCTCACCAACTGGGTGATGATATTTGTACCCCAAACCTCAGCATCATGCAATATACTCATATAACAAAGCTGTACTTGTACTCCCTATATCCAAAATAAAAGTTGAAATTATTTCTAAAAAGATTCGTGAACCTGAAGGCACAGCAGTAGAAACTTTACAAAATGAAACACATAGACGAAAACATTTAAGTAAATACAAAGAGCATCAGTGAGCTTGTGACAATATTAAGCAGACTAATATACATGTAATTGTTTCTCTCAAGGATGAAAAGGGATATTCAGAAATAATAAAGAAATAATAGACCAAAATATTTAAAAATTGATAAAATTTACAAATTTGCAGATCTCAGAGGCTCAACAAACCTCATACACAAGAATCACAAAGACAAGTACAACAAGTACACTATAATAAAACTGCCAAAAACCAATGATAAATGTAAAAATCTTTAAAAAAACAGTCAAAGAAAAAAAAAAAGACACATTATATGCAGAGAAACAAAGAAAAGCATGAGAGCAGCTTATCTGAAACAATGCAAACAAGAAGACAGTGGAGCAACATCTTTACAGCACTAGGGTGGAGTGGAAATGTCAACCCAGAATTTTACATCCAGCTATATTAGTCCATTTTCATGCTGCTAATAAAGATATACCTGAGACTGGGTAATTTATATAGGAAAGGATTTAATGGACCTCCAGTTCCATGTGGCTGGGGAGGCCTCACAATCATGGTAAGGAGTAGCAAGTCACATCTTACATATATGGCAACAGGCAAAGAGAGAGCTTGTTCAGGGAAACTCCCCCTTATGATACCATCAAATCTCATGCGACTCATTCATTATCAGGAGAACAGCATGGGAAAGACCTGCCCACATGTTTCTATTACCTCCCACCAGGTCCCTCCCACAACATGTGGGAACTGAAGATGAGATTTGGGTGGGGACGCAGTCAAACCATATCCTTTTGCCCCTGGCCCCTCCCAAATCTCATGTCCTGACACTGCAAAACCAATCATGCCTTCCCGACAGTCCCCCAAAGTCTTAACTCATTTCAGCATTAACTCAAAAGTCCACAGTCCAAAGTCTCATCTGAGACAAGGCAAATCCCTTCCACTTAATGAGTCTGCAAAATCAAAAGCAAGTTAGTTACTTCCTAGATACAATGGGGGTACATGCATTGGGTAAATAGAGCCATTCCAAATGGGAAAAAATGGCCAAAACAAAGGGGCTACAGGCCCCATGCAAGTCTGAAATCCAGCGAGGCAGTCAAATCTTGAAGCTCCAAAAGCTCCTTTGGCTCCATGTCTCACAATCCGATCACACTGATGCAAGAGGTGGGTTTCCAGGGTCTTGGGCAGCTCCACTCCTGTGGCTTTGCCAGGTACAGAACCTCCCGGCTGCTTTCATGGGCTGCTGTTGAATGTCTGGTACAAGCTGTCAATGGATCTACCATTCTGGGGTCTGGAGGACAGTGGTCCTTTTCTCACACCTACTAGGTGATGCCCCAGTAGGGACTCTGTGTGGAGGCTCTGATCCCACATTTCCCTTCTGCACTGCCCTAGCAGGGGTTCTCCATGAGGGTACCGCCCCTGCAGCAAACTTCTGCCTGGGCATTCAGGCATTTTCATACATCATCTGAAATCTAGGCAGAGGTTCCCAAACCCCAATTCTTGACTTCTGTCTTTTTGCAGGCTCAACACCACGTGGAAGCTGCCAAGGCTTGGGGCTTGCACACTCTGAAGCCACAGCACGAGCTCTATGGTGACCCCTTTCAGCCACAGCCAGAGTGGCTGCGACACAGGGCACCAAGTCCCTGGGCTGCACACAGCACAGGAACCCTGGGCCTGGCTCACAAAACCATTTTTCCTTTCTAGGCCTCCAGGCTTGTGATTGGAGGGGCTGCCGTGAAGACCTCTGACATGCCCTGGAGACATTTTTCCCCATTGTCTTGGAGATTAACATTAAGCTCCTTGTTACTTATGCAAATTTCTGCAGCCAGCTTGAATTTCTCCTTAGAAAATGGGATTTTCTTTTCTACCACATTGTAAGTTGCAAATTTCCCAAACTTTTATGCTCTGCTTTCCTTATAAAACTGAATGCCTTTAACAGCACCCAAGTCACCTCTTGAATGCTTTGCTGCTTAGAAACTTCTTCCACTAGATACCCTAAATCATCTCTCTCAAGTTCAAAGTTCCACAGATCTCTAGGGCAGGGGCAAAATGCTACCAGTCTCCTTGCTAAAACATAACAAGAGTCACCTTTGCCCCAGTTCCTGACAAGTTCTTCATCTCCATCTGAGACCTCAACCTAGACCTTATTGTTCATATCACTATCAGAATTTTTGTCAAAGCTATTCAACAAGTCTCTAGGAAGCTCAAAACTTTCCCACATTTTCCTGCCTTCTTCTGAGCCCTTCAAACTGTTCCAACCTCTGCCTGTTACCCAGTTCCAAAGTCGCTACCACATTTTCAGGTATCTTTTCAGCAACACCCAACCCCCAGTACCAATTTACTGTATTAGTCCATTTTCATGCTGCTGATAAAGACACACCTAAGAGTGAGCAATTTATACAGGAAAAAAAGTTTAATAGATTTACAGTTCCATGTGGCTGGGGAGGCCTCACAATCATGGTGGAAGGCAAGGAGGAGCAAGTCACATCTTATATGTATGGCAACAGGCAAAGAGAACTTCTGCAGGGAAACTCCCTTTAATAATGCCATCAGATCTCATGAGACTTATTCACTATCATGAGAACAGCATTGGAAAGACCTTCCCCATGATTCAGTTACCACCCACTGGGTCCCTCCTACACAACATGTGGGAATTGAAGATGAGATTTGGGTGTGGACACAGCCAAACCGTATCACTAGCTAAAATATTTTTAGAAAACCAAAGAGAAATAGAATTTTTCAGTTGGATGAATTTCAGAATTTATCTCCAGAGAACATACTACATGAAATATTAAAATGAATTCTTCCAGGCAGAAAGAAATGGATACCAGATAGAAATATGGATCTACAAAAAGGAACAAATAACTCTGGAAATGGTAAATACATGGTTAATTAACTAATATTTTTATATTCATTTTATGTAAATAAAATAGCTTTTCAAAAGATAATTTCCAGCTTAATCAAAAATAGCAACGTAATGTGGTATTTATAACATATGTAAAAGTGAAATTTATGGCAACAATAACATAAAGTCAAGAAGAAAATATTTATATATTGTATATGTAAGAGTTACATCCATAATATATAAAGATCCCTTAGAACTCACTATTGAGAAATTAAACAAAACTCAATTTTAAAAAATGGGCAAAATATTGATATAGGCACTTCACCAAGAAGAAATGCAGGCCACATAAGCACATGAAAACATTATCAATATCATTCATTATTTGAAAAATGCAAATTAGAGCCACAATGAGATAGCATTACACACCGATTTGAATGACTATAATTAAGAAGACTGCCCATCCAAGTATTGGCAGGATGTGGAGTGGAATTCTCATACACTATTGTTAATGTAAAACAGTACAGTTACTTTGTAAAATGTTTGTTAGTTTCTTTAAAAGTTCAACATGCACCTATCGTGTGGTCCAGTGATTTCACTAATTGGTATTTACAAAAGAGAGATGAAAGCACATGTCCATACAAAATGTACACATAAATGTTCAGAGGAACTTTATCTGCAATAGCCAAAACCTGGAGAAAAAAATGTCCACCAGTCAGTGAAAGGATAAAGAAAGTGTAGTGCATCTATGCAATGGAATACTACTCTGCGATAAAAGAATTAACTATTAATACATGCAACAATATGATGAATCTTGAAATAATTACGCTGAGTGAAAGTAGCTCAATAAAAAAGATTACATTTAGTAGGATTCCATTTACTTGCAATTCCAGAAAATGCAAACTAATCTATAGTGACCAAAGCAGACCAGAGGCTACCTGGAGACCACAGAGGTGTGGGTGAAGGAGGAAAGGTCAGGGCATGGGGAGGAGCTGAAGGGAGACATTACAAAGAACAGGAGAAAATTCTGTACATTGACTGACATGTCATTATCTTGATTATGGTGGTGGCTTTGTGGCTGTGTAACTTACTGAAAACTTGTCAAATCATGCTTTTAAATATGTGTTGTTTATTGCACGCTAATTCTACCCCTACAAAGCTATTTTAAATATTTAAAAAGTTATTTTTAAAGAAGTCTCATTTCTCTCCTAATCTCTTCTCCCCTGTTCCCTGCCTCATCCTATAGGTAGTCATTTGTATTAGTTTTTTACATGCAATTCCAATGGGGCTTTGCACAAAAATAAGTGTGTGTATTTTCCCCATCTTACCCTCCAAATACAATCATACACACACACACACACACACACACACACACACACACACACACACAGAGACATATTTTTCCTTATTTCTCCTAACAATGTATCCTTGGAGATTCTGCCACATTGGTATACAGCGATTTTTATCATTCATTTTTACATCTGCATAGAATTCCTTTGTATGACTGTACCTGAGCTTATTGAACAGTTCCCTATTGATGGGCATTTGAGTTGTTTCCTTTCTTCTGCTATTACGAATATACCAAAATTAATAACCTTATTCATAAATCACTTTGTAGTTTTGACCATTTCCCTTTGAGATTGATTGTGAGAAGTGGGATTGATGACAGACATAGGTAAATTTTTAAAATATTAGTGTTCTCAAAGTTAACATTCTTGATTTTAACTATTTGGAGACAACATCAAAAGGGTGGGATGTGATCATCTGTTATTTTGGTGAGGCTTAATTTTGAACAAAGTAAATGCTTAGGATTATGTGCAGAAGTAAGTCATTTGGGAGTAAATTAGTCTAGCCCACTGTCCTGCAGACACATATAAACAAAGTTTTATAGTTTGTTCTTGTTGTAGGATCCAAGAATAGCCCTCAAGTTTCCTGAATCCTGCACCCTCTAGGAGCAACTACAACTGTGAAATCAAGCTTTGATTAATGTCAGAAATACGCTGGATTTGTTACCAGCTAGGAACTTGGAAGTAACAGGAACTTGCTTCTGAAACTGGAAGTTTGGCTCTGGATGGCCTGATCTTTGTAGCTGTTTCTGCCCAAATGGATTCTCATCTCATTTCCTTATATTAAAGGAATTTGTGTCTTTTGCTTGGGTCTGTGGGTATTTTTGCTAGCATTGTGTAGTAGTCAAGAGAATAGGACATGAGCAAGGGTATCTGCATTTGAAACTGGCTCTGCCACTTTCTAACTGTATAATCGTGGGCAACTTCACTTCTGTTCTTCAATTTCCTCTCTTTTCTGAAATGAGGGTATTCATAGTACCTGCCTCACAGCATTGTTGTCAGAATTAAATGAAACATATACAAAATGCTTACAATAGTGGCAGGGAGACAGTAAGCACTCAATAAATGCATGCTATGACATCCATAGTGACCATCACCTTGGGATATCTATCCACTGAGTATATATTATATGAATTAAAAGAACATTTTTCAGCATTGAAATTTGGGAGATTTTTCTAAGCTGGCAAAGAGGCATCTTTTATTAATACTAAGAGTCCTATACACACAATATGTATATACACTAAATTATAAAGGATACAAAATGAGTCTGATATTAGACACCAGTTTTCCCTTCTGAGAAAACTGGGCTAAAAAAATACATAGATCTTCCTCAAAGTGAATCCTCATCTATCTATGAGCTACTCATCTTAAAATCTGTATTTCTCACTTTTGGGTCAGCCCTCATGGTTACTAAGCTTTTGTTTATTAAGTTCTTGCCTAAAACACATTTTTAAAAAAATGATTCTTTTTAATTGACACATGGTAATAAAACATAGGTTTTAAGTATGGGGTCTTTGTCAGTGATTTTCTCCAGAAAGTCCCCCCTACACACCCCATTCTGCTCTGAAAACACAGGCTGCAGGTGGCTGCATCTCTTTTTCTAGCCGGAATCCTCTGCACCTGCCCCGCATTCCCTTGGGGGCTGCATAGTCCTGGATGAGCAATGCCCATGTCTTCCTAACAGCAAAGTGAAGACCCTGTACATGGCTTTAGGTAGAAAGAATAACTTCCTGCTTAGAGTCTTTTCTTAAAATAAATTGTGCACTTGTGTAACACCATGATACTTCCTGTTTAACCCCATTAAATATCCCCAGGTAGCAGTAGCTTGGTAGGTGGCTGCTAAATACTTAATGTCCCTGTAGGTAACCCATTATTTTCAGAAAGGACTGCCCTGTGGAGACTTGAGAAGATCATGACTGGTTTGATCAGGAGTAAAAGTGTGTGGTGTGTGGTGTGTGTGTGTGTGTGTGTGTGTGTGTGTGTGTGTAATACTGATAGAGTCAAAAGAGAGAGAGAGAGATAACAGAGCAACTCCATTTAAAGGACCTTTTTTATATCCTACTAAACTCTAATTGAGGATAGTTATATTGTTTGTGCTTAAACATTCTACCAGTGGAATCAGCAAGAACTTCCTGGAAGATGGAAATTTTAATCCGTGTGTAGTGCATGTTAATCGGTTCACTTTTAAATACCTGAAAAGCGGCTGGATAGAAGAGTTAAATGCATGTAAATTGCAAGTACTAATGAGATGCTCTTTCTACTATATGTCAAGAATCTTAATTTTATACTAAGTGTCTTAGAGCCATCACTTGTGTTGGAGAATATGTAGTGGAAATCAATAGGAAAGAGATGTGTCTTAGAATGATGCCAGGCACACAGTTAAGTACTCAACAAACGCAAGATACTGCTTCCATAATGACCATATGACCTTAGGACAACTACCCATTGAGTATGCATTACAGGAATTAAGAGAACATTTTTCAGTGTTTTTTGCAATATGGAGGAATATTCTATTTATAGCTATTTATGTTGTGTGCAAAGTTACAGGATTTACCTAATGATGATGAGATATCATGTGAAATACACAAGATTGAGTATCAAAAAAGCTGGGCTTGAGCTCCAGTTCTACCATGACTTGTGTGAGCTTGACTGACATAGTACTTTTCTTTCTCATTTGAAACTGATGAGATTAGAAAAAGTTATTTTTATAACTGTTTTCACCTGGAATCTGATTATAATTTATAAATGATTATCAACCTGCATTTAGAAGCTAAGACTCCTACAGGGTTCATTTAAACTCTCATGAGAAAATTTTTTTTCTTTTTTCTTTACTTCTTTTTTTTTTTTTAACCACTTTTTAATTACTCTCATGCTTATGAGTGGCCTTTGGAAAATCCCTTGTAGTACTGTTACATGCAGTCTACATGCTGCCTCTGCATCCCCTCTTCAATGAATCTCCATGTATTGTACTGCAGTTCTGGACTGTTCAGTGGCTCCCCTACCTAGAGCCAAGGGAGCGCTGAAATTCATGAGGAGTAGGTGCTGTGCTCTTACTCCCAAACCATAAGCCTGGATGCAATTATGCACTGCCACAAAGGAAAGAGTGCTTCCTCCTTCCATATAAACTAGTAGAGACCCTGTGTCTTCCCTGGGTGCCAACCCTAACTCAGGAAACTGTTGGATTAAATATGACACAAAGTACTTCTGTTCCCTGAGAAGTATGAGGTTTGAATTAAGAAATTCATCATTTATCATGCAAAGGATGCAAAGTTACATGAAATATTAAGAATGATTCCCATCCCAGAGCAAGACTTAACTGTACTCAGATCAATGGGTTTTCTCCCAGTTTCTTAGCCCCTCTTTCCTAGTCAGCTTGCACAGCACGGACAATGAAACACTAACTGGTAACTGCACCATAATCCCCATCCCTTTGTCCTTCAGCCATGGAATTAGTACAGAGTACACCATGGAGAGACAAAGGGGTATGTGAGCAGAGAGAGGAGAGAGATAATCTGAATAATAGGAACATGGAACATTCTAGTCACTAGAGAGGTGTTTTATGTGATACAGGAATGATGTTTTGGCTCCACCATAGCCTGGATGACTTATATTCAACACGTTTGTACACCAAACAACCTTTAGATCACTAAAGTGATTTTTCTAGGTACTTTGACAGCATGAAAGGGGTCACTGTAGAAATAGGAATTGGGCCTTCTGAGTCCCCAGAATAGTAGATTCATTTCCTCCATTGTCAATATATAAATGAGAATTAGGTGATTATACTTCAGTGAGTTAGGAATTTAATTAGCATCTCTCAGTTGACTTGGACCTAAGTAACCCTGAGATTTTGAGAAGCTTCAGCCTTTGGACATGAAAACCTAAGGAGTAGACCCCGGATCACGGTAAATTAACCAAGATAAATCCACCTCAGAGATATTTTGATGGCCAATAGGCTCCCCTTGGCAATAGTTCTATCTTAAGAGAACCTCAAAATACACTGACTCAGGACTGCCAGAGCAGGAGTTTTGTTGTTACTGTTGTCTTGAGTAATTCTGAGCACCATCCCAAGCCACTGTATTTTCCAGTATTGTTGTAGACCCTTTAAATTGTTTAGAGAGCTGGGGTATTATTATTATTAAAGTAATGAAATACTACCTCTTTACCAACTATCTGACAATGCCCATTATATTAACAAAACATGCATTATTTCATCACGGTTTAATTAATACCATGTTTAATAGGTATCTCACTTCATGCTAGATTCCAGCACTCTTTTCAAAAGCAGCAAGCTTAAGAATTTTTACTAATTTAATTGAGAGCAGTCTTAAATTAATTGTATAATTAATCTTGTCAAATTAAGTAACATTTCATACACTACCTTATTAAAGAAACTTGAATATTTTAAATTACCATGCTATTAGGCATTAATAAAGAAGTTCTTCTGTATTGTTCTGCTTTATAACACAAAGAAGGTAATTGCAATATAAATTGCAATATAAAAGCTAATTTCTATAGTACATTAATAATTAGATACACATTATTCCCTTTTATATTTTTTTTTTAGTTCAATGGATCTTTTTTTTAAAGAAAAATTATCGCCAAATGGCAGGATTTAACTATTATGTTAATCCTGTTAATAGTGAAAATAATCACTATTATGTTAGTGATTAATTTCATGACTGGACCTTGGAACATTTTCAGGAGTGGTCTAGTTAAACCTGAAATAGACGGCTATAAACAGCAATAGTGCCAACTACTGAGATCTCGAACCTCTTGAGGAATCGGTTGCTCTGATGTTGGTGAATATGCAGCACATCTATTTCTTAGATGTAGGTTAAAAAGCTCTTATCTCTGATAAGTCCCTGGAGATTATAAAACACAGTGTCCTCACATCTAAAACCAGAGGTCTTTTCTCCAGAGACAATCAGATGTGACATGAGGACAGTGTATGAGAATAGATATTTTAAATTGGTGGTGAGCCATGGGGTGGGTAGGCAGGAAGGAAAAGCATAATGACTTACCAACATTTTAGAAACAGACAAAACTCAGTCTCAAGGTCAAAAATCATCATTTCTTAAATTCTGTGGCATATACATTTCCTATATATTTATTCTGAATTGTAAGTTGCTGAGGTCAATGCCATTGTTAACCTCGAGGAGCTATATGCATCACATATCACATTTCCCAGGCATGGAATCTATGCTAAAATAACCCAGAAGCCAGCTTATGCATATTTCCAGGTAGATTTCAATGATACCTTATTTACTGATGATGCTTAAATATCGGCATTGATCACATTGAAAGGGTTGCTATTGAGTACTTTGTGCCCAAATCCACAGCTCTTAGTAGGCATTCAAAAATGCTTTGGCAAAGTGAATAAACATAGCTAGATATATAAAACAAATAAATAGAAATAGGTAAAAAAATCTTGCTAATGGGAGTATTTCTGATTAGCCTAATGAGAATCTTTTTTTCTAATCTTTTTCTAGATTTACTTGGTAGTGGCTGTTATCTGAAAATGACTAATTCACTTTGGGTTTGTTTTTAGTTTTTTTTTTTTAAGAAAAAAATGAAATAATACCTGTCAAATTCATTTTTTAAGAACAATAGTTTTGGGGCACTAGAAGAAGTGCAACATTTTTAATTTAACCACTCAACTTAAAACAAATCTTTGATGTGAACAATGTACCTAATGAGCTGAGTCTGTTGCATTCTTACTGATGTCAATTGTTGCTTATCCTCTGATTCTGACTATGGTTGTCATTAGTTCTATTCATCAAAGGTTTTTGTCCTTTCTCCTTCTGAGCAAATGGTAGGATTTTATTTTTCCTCCACTTTGTGGTTAGGTGTGGTCATTTGACTTCCTACAGCTTATGAAATGTGAGAGGAAGTGACTCAGGTCACTTCGGAGAGTAATTTTTAAAGCCCAGTTATGTGATTTATTATGTTTCCCTTTTCCCTGCCTCAACAAACATGGAAGCATGGAGATAGAGTGTCCTTCCACCCTGGTGTCTGAGGGAAAATGACCCAGAGCACAGTCCCAGGGAAGCACTGATGGGCACAAAGCGTAACCATGCATCGTGAGCGAGAAATACATGCGTATCCTTTGAAGCTACTGACACTGGGGACTGTTCATTATAAAACCATAGATGAGTGTATCCTGACTATGTGACCACATCATTGCACCATGTGACCCTGAACCACAGATAACCTGGAATGGTGGAGAGGAGGGCAGGGTTCGTGTGCAGCAAGGGGTGATGGAAAGGGAAAAATGAATTCTTCAATGTTGCAGAGACATTTCTACCCTATTCAAAAATTTGGAACAAATCTGTAACATTTCTATCAATCCTTTTGATAGTTGAGAAGATTAGATTTACCAAAAAAGGTTTGGGAAAATATATGTAGGGTGGCACTTGCAAACTACATTTAATTATTAATTATAGTGGAGGTGGTCTAGAAAAGGGCATTACGGCATAGATTTGGTTTTGTTCTGTTCAACTTTAATAATGTTTTACTGTTTTTGAAAGTTATACTTATCTACTGCTGACATTTTCGTAACACAGAAAAGCACAAAGAAGATAAAGTTTACATCTCATTTTATGAAACCAAGACAACCAATGTTAACATTTGATACATATCTCTTTGTCTTTTCTTCCATGTTAAGTTATAGGTGTGCATGTTTAGATTTTAGATGAAACGCATGTTTTTAAATCATAAAAAATGAAAGGCTGCCCTTTTCTGCTTCGTTCATCTCCTGCAAAGAAGCCCACTTTTCAGCTAATCCCATTAATATTTCCTGCTTTTTTCCTATGCTTACACACACACACACACACGCATTCATTTTTATCTATATTATCTCTATATTATTATATATGTGATACATAAATTCATACAAAATTATTTTTAACGTAACTGATTCATTTAGAACAACATGTTCTTTAGGCAATATAAAGCTCTTAGGCAAAATTATGTCAAAACATAAAGAGCTGTCTCATTTGTTGTAATGAATGCGAAGTATATATTTTATATACAAAGGTGTGCCTCCAAGTTATATGTATTTTTTTTATTTTTTATTTTTTTTTGAGATGGAGCCTCACTCTATCGCCCAGGCTGGAGTACAGTGGCGCCATCTCGGCCCACTGCAAACTCCGCCTCCCGGGTTCACTTCATTCTCCTGCCTCAGCCTCCCGAGTAGCTGGGACTACAGGCTCCCGCCACCGCACCTGGCTAATTTTTTTGTATTTTTAGTAGAGATGGGGTTTCACCGTGTTAGCCAGGATGGTCTCGATCTCCTGACCTCGTGATCCGCCCACCTCGGCCTCCTAAAGTGTTGGGATTACCGGTGTGAGCCACCGCACCTGGCCGAAGTTATATATTTTATATAAATATATGCTTCATTTATTTGTTTTTTAAACTAAATAAACTGTCCATCTGGAGATGGTGTTTCATACTACTCATGCTGTTTGGAATATATTTTTTTTACATTTAAGTATATATAGTCTATATTTTCTTTCATTATATTAGCTATTTTTAAAATGTTTACATCCTACATAAAAGCTTCAGTCTGTTCTTAGATCTCTTTCCATCTACCCTGTTCCCAGGAGCAAATTAGGTTAAGCGGGACATTTTCCACAGGGGCTTCCTAATTGTAAAGTGAGCAAGCATCCTCTGAGCGACAAATGAACGACTTGAATTTTAGCAGATCTGCCTCATGCAAAGCTGTGAGTGTCATGTTTCCACTGTGGTGGGCAGTGCCCTGCAGAGGAGCCCTCCAAGGCAGGCAGCCTGTCTCCTTCATGTCAGCTGCCTTGTCAGATGCTGGCACAGCTTTGCTTAAGACTTGGTTCCCATTCTGTCAGATTAGGACTCACCTGTCACTGCCCCGCTGCCAGCAAGAAAGACACTGGAAATGTCCTCAGCTATAGATTAAGTCCCAAAACTAAGGATTGAGATTCAGCAACTTTTGCTCACTCAAGAGCCTTAAATGTCTCAGGTTCTCCAGTTTTCAACAAGGATTTATTTTAAATGTTTCTGACCATCATTATATTTGTGGCTAATATCCATCATTTAGAAATATATGTCATTTTACTGTTTATAATAGGTTTTTCTAAATATTTTATTTTGAAATTATAGTAAAGAAACTATTTTTTTTGCATGTTCAGGTCTATATATTCTTAACACAGGTATAGATTGAAGTAAACGCCATCACAACCAGGGCATAGAATGGTTCCATCACCCTGAAAATTTCCTTTTGTGTCCTTTTGCTAGCTCTTTGTCGTCACATCCTCTCGTAGCCTCTAAACTATGACAAGTGAGCTCCTCTCCATCCCTAGAGCGTTGTCTTTTCAAGGATGTAATATAATGAAATCACAAAGCATGGAATCACATAGCATGGAACATTTTGGCTCTAGTTTCTTTCACTCAGCAAATGCCTTTGATGTTAATTCAAGATGCTTCTGATATCAATAGTTTATTCCTTCTTATTGCAATAGTATTCCATTGTGTTAATGTGACACCGTTTGTTTATTCATTCATCCATTGAAAGATTTTTTTTTCCTGTTTCGAGCAGTTATGAATGGGACTGCTATAAACATTCACGTACAGGTAGTGGTGTTAATATCATTTTCATTTTTTAAGGGTAGATAGTAAGAAATAAAAGTGCTGAGTCTTGCAGTACATGTTCGTCTGACTTTATGAGGAACTGCCAAACTGTGTTTCCCGTGCAGGCGTTTCCCATTCCCACTAGCAATGTTTGAGAGTCTCATTTGGTCTGTTTCATTGCTAGTGCTTGGTGTGGGCACAATTTTTTATTTTAGCCACTCTAATAGGTGTGTAGTTGGATTTTATCACAAGTTAACTTTGCATTTCCCTAACAGCTAAATATGTGGCTCATCTTTTCATGGGCTTGTTTGCCTTACTTAATTGATTATTGGTGTAATGTATTCAAGTATTTTGCCTATTTTTCAGTTGGGTGTTTGCTTCCTATTGAGTCTTGAGCAGTCTTTATGAATGCTGAATAAAGGCTTTTGCAGATATATGATTTGCAAATATTTTCTCCTAACTTGCAGTTTTTTTTTTTAAATTCTCAGTAGTTGCTTTCACACAAAGTAATTTGGATAAAGTCCAATTATGGTTTGTGTTTTTATGTCTAAGAACTGGTTGCCTAATTTCAGATCATAAGGATTTTTTCTTATGTTTTCTTCTATATATTTTATAGTTTTAGTCTTTGTATATGTAGATCTATGAGCTGCTTTAATTTTTACATGAGGTGTAAGGTTTAAAATGAAGACTTACTGTTTTGCATACCAACTGCATACCAATTTTAATGTCAGACTTTCCAACTTAATTTATAAAAAAGACAATCCTTCTCCATTGAAAAACCTTTGCACCTTTGTCAAAAATTAATTAGCCATATTGGTGTGGGTCTATATCTAGACTATCCATTCTGTTCCATTGATCTGTGGGTCTATTCCTTTGCTAACATCCCACTTTCTTCTTTACTTAGCTTTATAGTAAATCTTTTTTTCATTTTTAATCTTCATGGGTACATAGTAGGTATATGTATTTATGGGGTACATGAAATACTTTGATACAGGCATACAATGTGTAACGATAACAACGTTGAAAATGGTATATCCATCACTTAAAGTATTTATTGTTTCTCTGTGTTATAAACACTCCAATTATACTATTTTAGTTATTTTTAAATGTACAATAAATTATTGTTTACTGTAGTCACTCTGTTGTGTTATCAAATACTAATCTTATTTATTCTATCTAAGTATATTTTTGTACCCATTAACTATCCGCACTTCCCTCCTTTCCCCCCTACTACTCTTCCCAGCTTGTGGTTACATTATTCTACTCTCTATCTCCGTGAATTCTGTTATTTTAGTTTCCACAAATGAGTGAGAACATGCTAAGTTTTTCTGTGCCTGACTTATTTCACTTAACATAATGTCCTCTATTCCATCCATGTTGTTGCAAATGTCAGGATCTCATTCTTTTTTATGGCTGAATAGTACTCCACTGTGTATATGTACCACATTTCCTTTATCCATTCATTTGTTTGTGGACACTTGCTTCCAAATCTTGACTATTGTGAATAGTGCTACAATAAACATGGGAGTGCAAATATCTCTTTGATATACTGATCTCCTTTCTTTTGGGTGTATAACTAGTGGTTGGATTGCTGGATCACATGGTAGCTCTATTTTTAGTTTTTTGAGGAACCTCCATACTGTTCTCCATAGTCGTTGTACTAATTTACATTCACACCAACAGTGGGTGAGGATTCCCTTTTCTCCACATCCTCACCAAAATTTGTTATTGCCTGTCTTTTGGATATAAGCCATTTTAACTGGAGTGAGATGATATCTCATTATAGTTTTGATTTGCATTTCTCTGATGAACAGTGATGTTGAGCACCTTTTTGTACACCTGTTTGCCATTTCTGTGTCTTCTGAGAAATGTCTATTCCAATCATTTGCCCATTTTTAAATCAGATTATTAGATGTTTTCCTATTGTTTGAGCTCCTTATATATTTTAATTATTAATTGTTTGTCAGATGGATAGTTTGGAAATATTATCTCCCATTGTGTGGGTTGTCTCTTCACTTTGTTGATCATTGCCCTTGCTGTACAGAAGTTTCTTAACTTGATGTGATCCCATTTGTTCATTTTTAGCTTTGTTTGCCTGTGCTTGTAGAGTATTATTTTAAAAATATCTGGCAAACCAATGTCCTGCAGAGTTTCTCTGATGTTTTCTTTTAATATTTTCATAGTTTGAGGTCTTACATTTAAGTCTCTAATTCATTTTGATTTGATTTTTTAAATGGAGAGAAATAGGGTTCTAGTTTTAGTCTTCTGTATATGGATATTCAATTTTCCCAGCACCATTTATTGAAGAGACTGCCTTTTCCTTCATCTGTGTTCTTGGCACCTTTGTTGAAAATGATTTCATGGTAGATATATGGATTTATTTCTGGATTCTGGATTCTGTTCCATTGGTCTATGTGTCTGTTTTTATGCTAGTGCCATGTTGTTTTGTTTACTATAGCTCTATAGTATAATTTGAAGTCAGGTAATGTGATTCCTCCAATTTTATTCTTTTCACTCAGGATGAATTTTGCTATTCTGGGTATTTTGTGGTTCCATATAAATTTTATGATGATGTTTCCTATTTCTTTTAAGAATGTCATTGATATTTTGACAGGGATTGCAATGAATCTGTAGATTGCTTTGGATAGTATGGACATTTTAACAGTATTGATTCTTCCAATCCGTGAACATGGAATATTTTTCTATTTTTTGTGTGTCCTCTTCAATTTCTTGCATCGATGTTTTATAGTTTTGATCGCAGAGATCTTTAACTTCTTTGGTTAATTCCTATTTAATTTTATTTGTAGCTATTGTAAATAGGATTACTTTCTTGACTTCTCTTTCAGACTGTTTGCGTCCACATTTAGAAATGCTACTGATTTTTGTATGTTGATTTTGTATCCTGCAGCTTTAGTAAATTTATTAGTTCTGATAGTTTTTTTGGGGGAGTCTAGGTTTTTCAAAATATAAGATCATATCATCTGCAAATAAGGATAGTTTGACTTCTTTCTTTCCAATTTGGATGCCCTTTATCTTTCTCTTGTCTGGTTGCTCTAGCTAGGATTTCCAGTATTGTGTTAAATAACAGTTGTGAAAGTAGGCATCCTTTTTTTGTTCCAGATCTTAGAGGAAAGGCTTCCCATTCCACCCCACACCCCATTCAGTATGATACTAGCTGTAGGTCTGTCACATATAGTTTTTACTATGTTAAAGTATGTTCCTTCTATTCCCAGTTTTTTTGAGGGCTTTTATCACGAAGGAATGCTGAATTTTATCAAATGCTTTTCAGCACCAATTGAAATGATCATATGGGTTTTGTCCTTCATTCTGTTGATATGATTTATCATGTTGATTAATTTGCATATGTTGAACTATCCTTGCATCCCTGTGATAAATTGCATTTGGTCATGATAAATGATCTTTTAAAAATGTTGGTTAATCCGTTTTCTGTTGGGATGATCTGTCCAATGCTGAAAATGGGGTGTTAATGTCTCTTGCTGTTATTGTATTGGGGCCTATCACTTCTTGTTACCTCTAATAATATTTGCTTTATATATCTAGGTGCTCCACTGTAGGGTGCATGTATATTTACAAGTATTAATGTCCTCTTGCTGAATTGACCACTTTAATATTATATAATGACTTTCTTTGTCCCTTTTTATTGTTTTTGCCTTGAAATCTATTTTGTCAGACGTAAGTATAGCTGTTCTTGCTCTTGTTTTGGTTTCTGTTTGCATGGAATATATTTTCCATCCCTTTATTTTCAGTCTATGTGTGTCTTTATAGGTGAAGTGTATTTCTTGTAGGCAGCAGATCCTTGGTCATTTTTTTAATCCATTCAGCTACTCTGTGTCTTTTGATTGGATATTTTAGTCTATTTACATTCAATGTCATTATTGATAAGTAGGAACTTACTACTGCCATTTTTTAATTTGTTTTCTTGTTATTTTGTGGTCTTCTTTCCTTCTGTTCTGTCTTCCTTTTAGACAAGGTGATTTTCTCTAGTAGTATGTTTTAATTTCTTGCTTTTTATTTTTTGTGTATCTCTTGTAGGTTTTTTAATTTGCAGTTACCATGGGGCTTTCAAATAACATCTTCTAACCTATTATTTTACACTGATGAAAACTTAACATCAATTTCAAAAACAAACAAATTAACAAGCAAAGAGAAAACTAATAAAAACTCTACACTTTTAACTTCATACTCTCTGCTTTTACCTTTTATTGTTTCTATTCATATCTCATATTGTCTGTCTTGAAAAGTTGTTGTAGTTATTATTTTTGATAGGTTCATCTTTTATTCTTACTCAAGATATGAACAGTTAACACACCACAATGATGGTGTTATAATATTCTGTGTTTGTCTGTGTACTTATTATTACCATAGAGTTTGTACCTTTAGATGATTTCTTATTTCTTATTAACATCATTTTCTTTCAGATTGAAGAAATCCTTTTAGCATATCTTATGGGACAGATCTGTTGTTGATGAAATCCCTCAGCTTTTGTTTATCTGGGCAAGTCTTTATTTCTATAGTAAGTCTTAAAAGAGTAATCTGTTTCCAACTTTGTTCATCTCTTTCAAAATTTCTTTGGTCATTCCAGTTCCTTCACTTTACACATGAATTTATAATCATCTTTTCTATATCGCAAAAAAATCCTACTGGGATTTCAATTAAAACTGCATCAAATCTATAGATCAATCTGTAAAGGATAAACATCTTTAATATGTTGAGTCTTCTAGTACATGCAAAAAATATGTTGCTTCATTTATTTAGATATTTTCTGATTTATTTCATCAGCATTGTTTTCAGCATAGCAATCCTGTGCATGTATTCTTAGATTTATACATCTAAGTATTCCATTTGTTTTGGAGCTATAATAAAATGTTGGCTTCCAGTTGTTCATTGCTAGTTTATAGAAATATCATGATTTTTGTGTTGACCTTGTAGCCTGTGTTCTTGCTAAATTAACTTAGTTCTAGGACTTCTTATGCAGAAATTCCCATTTCTAGAGAGAAAATCATGTCTATGTATTGAGACAGTTTTATTTATTGTTCTTCAGGCTGTGCCATTTCTTTCTTATTCTTGCCTTATTGCCCTAGCCAAGAGTTCAGGTGCAATGTTAACTGGGAGCTATGAGCATGTACATCCTTTCCTTATTCCTGACTTTAGGAGGAAGATACTGTATGTCATCAGTAAGCATGATGTTAGCTGTGGATTTTTGGTAAATGCTCATTAGCAGGTTGAGGAAATTCCCTTCTATTCCTGGTTTCTTGAGTCTTTTTTTTTTTTAAATAATGAATGGATGTTGAATTTTCTTAAATGTTTTTTCCACATCAATTCATATGTTCATAAGACTACTTCCTTGGCTACTAATATAGTAAATAATATTGATTGAGTTTCAAATATTGAACCACTCCTGCATTACTGTGATGGACCCCAATTAGCTGTGATGTAGTTTTTTAAAAATATGACTACATTTACTTTGCTAAGATTTTGTTAATAATTTTTAAATCTTTGTCCACGAAGGATATTGGTTTGTAGATTTTTTTGTAACGGCTTTACCTGATTTGTTAACAGGATAGTGCTGTCATCATGAAATGAATTATTAAATATTTCTTCCTATTTTATTTTCTTGAAAATAGTGCAGAATTGGTTTATTTCTTTGTTAAATATTTATTAAATAATGTTAAATAAGAATTAATCAGTAACACTATTTAGAAGTTCCTTTCTTGGAAGTTTTAAAAACTGTTAATTAAATTTCTTTAAAAGTTATAAGACTATCCAGTTTATCTCTCTAAACTTAGGTGAGTTTTTGGAAGTTGGTGATTTTCAAGGCATTGGTCTGTTTCACCCAAATCTTTGATTTTATGTAACTAGATTTGTGTATGGTATTCTCTTATTTTTTTAATGGTTGCAGAGTACAGTAAGATTTTTCTTTTATTTCTGATATTTGTAATTTCTGTCTTCTCTGTTTTATTCTTTGTTGGTATTGCTAGGATTTATTGATTTTGTTGATCTTTTAAAAGAACTGACTTTTATTTTCATGAATTTTCCTAGTTAGTTTTGTGTTTCCATTTCATTAATTTCTGTCCTAATCTGTATTCCTTCCTCCCTCTGACTTGCTTTGGATTTATTTGCTACTATCTTTCTACATTCTTAAGGTGAAAGATTTAGATTATTTATTTGACTTATTTTTTCTTTTCTAACATGAGCATTTAATGCTATGACTTCCCTCTAAGCACTGCTTTGGCCCTATCACACAAATTTTGACATGTTTTATTTTCATTTTCTTTCCATTCAAAACATCTTCTAGTTTCCTCTAAGCCTGCTTATTCCCCTATGATTATTTACAAGAGTATTTTAAATTGCAAGTGTTTAGAGACTTTCCTGTTATCTTTCTGTCATTGATTCTACTTTACTTTTATTATGGTTATATAACCTACTTTTATTATTTAATTTAGTTATTTCACATGTGTTTAAAATGTTATCCCAACTTCCACCCCTACCTCCCTCAGGATAAGATCTGTCTTGGTGAATATTCCAAATGCATTTGAAAAAAATTTACATTCTGCTGCTATTCGGTGGAATATCCTTTTTTTTCTTTTCTTTTTCTTTTTTTTTTTTTTTTTGACGGAGTCTTGCTCTGTCACCAGACTTGAGTGCAGTGGCACCATCTCGGCTCACTGCAGCCTCTGCCTCCTGGGTTCAAGTGATTCTCCTGCCACAGCCTCCCAAGTGCTGGGACTACAGGTGTGCAGCCACCACACCCAGCTAATTTTTGTATTTTTAGTAGAGACGGGGTTTCACCATGTTGGCCAGGATGGTCTCAATCTCCTGACCTTGTGATCCACCCGCCTCAGCCTCCCAAAGTGCTGGGATTACAGGCATGAGCCACCATGCCCGCTGGAATATTCTATAAATTAGATTCCATTGGTAAATGGTGATATTCACTTATTCCATATGCTTGCTGATTTTCTGTCTCCTGCTGCTACAGATTACTGTGAGAGTGGTGCTGAAGTCCCTAACTACAACTGTAGATTTGTCTATTTCTCTTAATTCTGTCAGTTTTTGTTTCATGTGACTTGTCATCTGTTTTTAGGTATGTACACATGGAGGAATGTTATATCATCCTGGTAAATGGATACTTCTATCATTATGTAACATCTTTCTCTGTCTCTGGTATTTTTCTTTGCTCTGAAGCCTACTTTGTCTGATATTAATGCAACCACTCACATTTTCTTTAGATTAGTGTTTGTATGGTATATCTTTTTCTATCCTTTTACTTTTTGCTTGCCCATATCCTTAAGTTTCCAATGAGTTTACTGTAGGCAACATGTAGCTGGGTCATTGTTTTTATCCATTCTGAGAATCTGTAGTTTAAATAGCATTTTTAGACTATTCACACTTAATGTAAATGCTTAGACTTAATTATAATATTATTTATTTGATGTTTGTTCTTTTTTTATCCCCCTCCCCTTTTCTATCTTCTTTCTGTTTATTTTGAACAGTTTTTAGTATATCATCTTAATTTATCTATTGCATTTATTACCATATCATTTTGTCTAGATGTTTCAGTGGTTGTTCTCAGGTTTACAATATATATACTTAAATTTCCACTTAGAATCAATATTTTTCTAGCTTAGCTGGAGTATTCTGATTCAGTGTATTTCATGAGGCTGCAGTCATCCCAGGACTTGGCTGTGGTCAAAAGACCTGCTTCCGAACTATTTCATGTGGTTGTTGGCAGGCCTCAGTTCATTACAGGCTATTAGAGGGCTGCAGTTTCTTATAATGTGGGACTATCAATAAGGCTGCTCTCAATATGTTAGCTTGCTTTCCGTGGGGGTGAATGGTGTGTGTGTGTGTCAGAGAGAGAGAGAGAGAGAGAGAGAGAGGAAGAAAGAGAGAGAGAGAGATAACCAGGTAGAAGTTGCAGTCTTTTTATAATCTATTCTCAGAAGTGTTTTACCATTATTTCAGCCAGCTATTTGTCACACAGATCAATTCTGGTAAGGTTTGAGGAGGTCCACATGAATCATTTGGTGCCTTTGGGTCTATCACATCACTATCACTGCTAGGTCCATAATTCAATGTTCTCTAGACTGATATGAACATTCCCGTTCCAGTTTAAGTCAGTTTAGTTATCACTAGATTATTACCTGTGGCTGTAAGCCTCATGATGCTAGGGGAGAGCATGTAGCGTAATTTTAAATCTTAGCATTTATCTAAGGCCTCTCAATAGTTGAGAGAAGTCCAACGTATATCTTTGAAGCTTATAGAATAGTAAAAAGTAAAAAAGAGCTAAGAAAGTTACAAAAATTGTGGTATATTTTAAGTGTCTACATTTAATGTTTTAACAAAGATACACAAATATGCTGACTACATTGATGGCTTCCTTCAAAGATACCCTGACAAGTCTAAATATAAAGATTTTCATGAATGTAAAACCCCAAAAAAGCACAGCCATATGATCTTTCCCTTCTAATAACCTATGGCCAGTTACTGGGAGGCCACTTTATTTTTTCAAAATCGACCAGTAACGCTCACAAATTCACAAAGTCGCCAGTATTTCCTGCTTTGGTGTTCTGATAATGTCTGGGATTTAAGAGCTAGCTGCTTAGCAACACCGCTTTTCTAGGAAGCATGAAAACCAAGTGTGCTTGTCTGACCCCTTGATCACTAATTATATTTGACTTGGAGCTCAGTGTAGAATTTTGACTTGTGGCAACTGATCAGTCACTTGGTGGCATTTATTGAGTTCAGTCCATTCTACTGGAACTGAAGATAAAGAGGAAGAGAAAAGGCCATTGTTAAGTCTTAGGGTCACAGTTGGTACCATTCATGATGCTGTAGCAATAAGTTTTGTTCCCTCCTCCCATTTAATTTACACTTGTTATATTAGTTGCTTTAGAATGATGTTTATGAGTGACATTTCTCAGGCTGCAGTTCCTAAATAATTACACATTTTTTGGAAAATGGTTATTTATACAATGTACTCTATGAGTCAAATATTTGATCCTATTTTCCCGTTAGCTTTGGAAACACAGAAGCCCAGAACCCAGTTGCAGCCTCCCTGTAGAAAGTGCACAAGACCTGTGTCCTGCCTTCTTCTTACTGACTTAGCCACATGATTCCTCTTATTTTCCTTCCTTCTGTTTTCTTCTCTTCCTTATTTAGTCACCTAATTTCCAGTAGTTATTTTTTAAACCTCTTAAAATTATATATAGTTACAAAAAATGTTAGAAGACAGGGAGGAAGAAAGGGAAGACTTGTAAGAAAGCCTTTTAATAGTAAGCATATATTTTGAATAATTAGAGTTATCTAAATTGCAAAGCACTTCACTGTGAGCTAACGGGGCAACGCTTACTGCAATAGAGGCCATGTGGTCAATTTTCAGATGAGTTTTAAATGAGGTTCATACTTTGAGTAGAGAATATGTGTCCATAAGTCCATCAATTAAGGCTGCGACTCACTTTTAAGGGGCTTAAAAAGATATTAAATTAATTCCACTTCTTTTTCTAATGATTTCCTGTGGTGAGAAATACTATCCGTAAGTGATATTTAATTTTCTGTAATTAAGTTTATCTGATCCTAGTGATGGGTACTTTCTTATATTTCTGTGTATGATAATGATGTCTATAATAAGCACTAAAAGAGCCTAATGTAACTTTTGAATCACAAGTCCACCCCCCCAAAAAAAACCCTAAAAATAAAACATCTAGTGTAGTTTTGAGTACCTTTTAATAGTTTATTTAATTAAAAATTGGTGATATGGTAAATTGCTATTAACCTGAATGTCCCTCCTCCATTACTACGTTAAGTAATATAGCATTTATAGAATTATATGTCATGGTTAAGACCTCTTCATGGTTGTTGACGCCATTTGGTTTTGTGTATAAAGAGCAGGTGTCTTTTCTAAATACCAATCCGCTTATCAGAGTGGTCCTTGTATCGGTCTTCTCTTTCCTCTTCTGGGATCAATAATGAACAGCTTTGCAGGAATGTCTTTGAAATGAGATATTGGGCTCCTGAAGCCAGTGCATAATTGTTGTGTGAAACAGACATTTAGAGTCTGCTCATGGAGGCTTGTGTTCTTATTCAGTGACACGTGTGCTGAGATTTCTCCTTCCTAGGTTTTTGAAAAGAAGGCAAGCCTATGGTATTCAGAAATTTTATTGTCTTTTTTTTAAAAATGCCAACTACAGCTTCTGTTTCTATTCGCTAGATTTCCATTATAAACGGGTAGTTTATAATGGAATATAAAGGGCTCCTGTCACTGAAGACTTCTCACTTATGTCTGCTATTTGACATGTCACCAGCAATTAAGGATAGATCCAAGACATCACAGAGTAAACATACCTCAAAACTCACAGAGGGAAGGAAATGCAAAATGATGTCAGGACAGAAACAGATCCAGGAGGAATATCACCACGATGCAGCAGATCCTTGATTTGAACATCCACTTAACAATAATATAGATAACACGTGAGACATGTTTTCAAAACTGGA
The DNA here is from genome assembly GCF_000001405.40 of Homo sapiens. NCBI lineage: Eukaryota > Metazoa > Chordata > Mammalia > Primates > Hominidae > Homo > Homo sapiens. Next base: position 155,837,523 of record NC_000006.12, on the reverse strand, counting down.
TACAGGTTGTGAACTGTTTTGATGCCAGATGGTTATTTTTGTTGTTGTTAAATGGTGCATGTATTCATAGTGGAAGTCAGTAACTCACAAATATTTGTAGTAGATTTTAATAGATCCCAAAAGTGAAGGTAAGATTTTCTCATACAGATTCTTTCTTCTCTAGCAAATCACTTCTAGATTCTAATGGAACAAAAGAGAAGTTCTATGACCAGTTTTTCTTTTTCTTTCTTTTTTTTTTTTTTTTTTTGTGTGTGTGTTAGATGGAGTTTCACTCTTGTTGCCCAGGCTGGAGTACAATGGCATGATCTTGGCTCACTGCAACCTCCGCCTCCTGTGTTCAAGCAATTCTCCTGCCTCAGCCTTCCATGTAGCTGGGATTACAGGCATGCATCACCACGCCCAGCTAACTTTGTATTGTTTTAGTACAGACAGGGTTTCACCATGTTGGTCAGGCTGGTGTTGAACTCCTCACCTCAAGTGATCCACTTGCCTCAGTCTCCCAACATGCTGGGAGGGATTACAGACATGAGCCACTGTGCCCGGCCCTATTACCATTTTTTCTACATAAGAAACTACAAAGAACATTTGAAATTATTGAGTATATATGCTCAGAATTTCTGGCAGATTCACTGAAGGCCATAAAAACCAACTGAATGAACACTTCTTTTTTTTTTTTTGACAGGGTCTCACACTGTTGCCCAGGCTGCAGTGCGGTGGAGCAGTCTCAGCTCACTGCAACCTCTGCCTCCTGGGTTCAAACGATCCTCATACCTCACCCTCCCAAGTAGCTGGGACTACAGTCCCATGGCACCATGCCCGGCTAATTTTTGGTAGAGACAGGGTTTCACTGTGTTGGCCAGGCTGGTCTCAAACTCCTGGCCTCAAGGGATCCACCCATTTTGACCCCCTAAAGTGCTGGGATTATAGGCGTGAGCCACTGCACCCAGCCTCAGTGGACACTCCTGATCCGCACACTCCTGGTACCCTTGACAGACGTGTTTTGAGGGTACAGATGATAACTGAAGAATTAAATAGGTATGAAATTAGAAGATGTGTTCATAAACATTTTGGTCAGACTTGCATGGTTAGGTTCTTCACCTCCCCCTATGAATATGTCATGAAGAAGCTCAGCTGCTACAACAGAGGACTTCCAGCTTCTGAGTTCAGTTTTGTCTGAAATCTTCTGGCAAAAGGATGTCACTACTGATAAAAATGCACAACTGCATAATTATACTCATGAGCTTCTTCTGTGGGAAGCAGCGTTTGACAGCAAACGTACTTCGACCATGTGACTAAAGCTACACTACTATTTAGGTTAGGATTAAAAAATGTAAGAAGACATAGAAGGACAACTCTGTATATAAATATCAGGAGAGGAACGAGAAAATTGCATGTTCTATTATAATTTCATGGACTTTTTGCTTATTTCCACAGATTTGATTATTAATAATAAATTACACATCTAAAGGAATTTATAGCTCCCCATACAGTACCTAATTTGATATTCATAGTTCTGTAAAAGTAGGTATTATTATTGTGATTTTACAGATGAAGTGAAACAGAGTAATTTAAGAGACTTACAATGATAAAATTGTAGAACTGGAAAGGAACTTAAGATCATTGTCTGGTTTGCAAACATTTTCTCCTTTCTGTTTCTTTCTCTCTCTTTTGTTTTGGTCAAGAAACATTTTTTTCCAACCAGAATGTTCATGTAGAAACTCATCTTATAAAACAGATTAAAGTGCTATGTTATTTACTTTTAAGTTCAAATTTATAACATTTTTTACTTATAAAATCAATGTGAGAACAATGAAACTGCTTGGACAAATCCAACATTTAAAGTTGGTTACGAATGTCAGTAGGCATAATATATTTTCCATAAAATTCTTCTTTACTCCCTTTATTTATAAGTAAATTGCATTTACTTTTGATTTCCTGTTTATTTCTATAGGTTTTAGTTGTGTGATATTAAAGATAGTTGCAATTGGCATCAATTAGAACTTGCAGGTGGCAACTGATTTTTTTATTTTGAATAGATTCTGATTTCAGAGTATTCTTAAAGTTATCCCCAAATGCAAAATATAATTAATTGAAAAATTTTATTTCACAGTTGAATTGCTAACAGTCTCTAATTACTTTAGTCTTATTATAAATATAATAATCAGATGGAAAATATCTCAAACTTATAATACAATTTATCGCTTAGCATAATCTGGTATTATCGCAACACAGTAAGTTATCTATTTCTACCTATAACACAAGTAACTATAGTGTTGTGATAAAAACATGAAATAAATAGATGCTACTCCAGCCTCTCTTGGCCATTCAATATATGTGCTGGGACAACCAGTTAAAAACAATCAATCAATTGAGCGCATATCTTTATATATGCTTGCCTCTGGAATTCCACTAAAATAATAAGAGAATTTTTTTTAAAGAATATACCCTCAAAGACAAAGAGAATGGTTGAAGAGACAAGAGCTGGCTGGGCGTGGTGGCTCACGCCTGTAATCCCAGAACTTCGGGAGGCCGAGGCGGGAGGATCGCCAGGTCAGGAGATCGAGACCAACCTGGCTAACACGGTGAAACCCCGTCTCTCCTAAAAAATACAAAAAATTAGCCGGGCGTGTTGGTGGGCACCTGTAGTCCCAGCTACTCGGGAGGCTGAGGCAGGAGTATTGCTTGAACCCGGGAGGCGGAGCTTGCAGCAAGCTGAGATCACGCCACTGCCCTCCAGCCTGGGGGACAGAGCAAAACTCCGTCTCAAAAAAAAAAAAAAAAAAAAAAAAAAAAAAAACAGGAGCCACTAAGAGATATTACCAAATTTTGAGAAGACAGAAAGCTGACTGAGGATAGGTAATTGATATAGCAAAACAAGAAACATAACTTTAGATTTCTGCAGGGAAATTTTGCAAGGCTGTTCACCCCACAAAGAGAGACTCAAGGTGAACTGGAAAGTGGTGAGAGTTTCAAGGCTGAATACAGAGGCATTGACTGGATGTCTGTGTAAGGAAGGGTTAGGTACCCAGATACCTTCCCATCCTCCACACAGCCAGTGACAAACGTGCTCTGTGTGGGTTGGGATTTTCATACTGATAGCAAGGATCCCTTTTTGGAGAAACTAAATTGTCCCAAGAGTAGACTCCACAGAAATGGACATTTACATGCCTACATGAAAATGCCAATTTATTATTTTATCACTCTAGAGTGCAGCTCTCTCATATAACAAACTCTTTCCATGCAAATAGGCTCCTCCAGTCATTTTCTTAGTGATGTATTTTTCAATCTGAATGGCAGCCAAAATCATCATAGATTATAGGAAAGTCTCCAACATGAAAGGCAGAATCAAAATAAATAAACACTATAATGTACTCAAGATAAAGGGACAATACAGGGAGCAGAAGAAAACTTCAACTTAGGCTCACTAATATTGTATTAGAAAAAAGAGACTATTAGTCCATTTCATGAGAAATAAGGCTGTTAAAAGGAATATTCAGAAAAAAATTCATAGTGATTTGACAAATATATAAAAAAATTTCTAGTAGATATATAGAAATCTAAGCATATAAAAACCAAAGCAATTGCTAATTCCAGAGTAACAAGTAGTCAGAGGAAGCAGAAAATGAAGGTTAAGAAAAAACAGTATGAACAAAGAAATGAGGCTAAAAGGACCAGGGGAAAGAGAACAAGTAATAATACTTACATAAGAATGAAAAGTAGTATACTACTTGGCTCAATAGTAAGCAGTGTTTCGAGGTCAAAATAAATAAAATCTTTAACATTATTTCTTTTTCTTTTTCTTCTTTTTTTTTGAGATGGAGTCTCACTCCGTCACCCAAGCTGGAGTGGCTGGAGTGCAGTGGCGCAATCTCGGCTCACTGCAAGCTCCGCCTCCCGGGTTCACGCCATTCGCCTGCCTCAGCCTCCTGAGTAGCTGGGACTACAGGCGCCCGCCACCACGCCCGGCTAATTTTTTGTATTTTTAGTGGAGATGGGGTTTCACCGTGTTAGCCAGGACGGTCTCGATCTACCGACCTCGTGATCTGCCTGCCTCGGCCTCCCAAAGTGCTGGGATTACAGGCGTGAGCCACCACGCCCGGCCTCTTTAACAATATTTCAACCAAATATGATGATGTAACTTTTTAGAGGAAAAAGATAGGTAACTGGAGAGAGGATATTTCCCCTCTTCTCTTAAAATAAGAAGTCAGTAAGTAACATCTAAAATAAATAGATTATGAAATAGCAAATGATATTAGAAACATGCTTCCAGGAAATGAGATTGAGAAAGGGTGAAGCAGGGAATAGTTTACATTTGTTAGAAGATTTTAATACAATTTGTTTTCTTTCTTTCTTTTTAAACTATAGGCGTGTATTGCTTTGATACACACATAAGCAAGTAAATAAACTTCCAGATGTAAGGGCCAGACTGGAACTGACAAAAGGATGCTAAAAATGTTTCTGTTTTCTGTGACACTTACATGACTTGTAAATATTGTAAAACAAAATATTTAAAAAGAAAATGTTTGGAAAGTATAGAAGACAGAGTTATTGAAACCCATGAACTAAGTCTCGTACAATTTGAATCTTTGTGTTTTTTCTAATACATCCTTTCTTTATCTTACTTCCCAGTCTTGTGGTGATCACTTAGCTGCTGACATGGTGGGATGGAGGATTCCAGAATGCGTCATGACTCACTGCCATTGTGTTTACAGACTTACAGCATACCATGAAGACTCTACATTAAAGCCACTTCTTAAAGCAAATGCCATGTCCTACAGTGCCATCTGCAGAGAAGCAGTTTGCACTTGACAGAAATCAAGGTCTTCTAAGTAAGTATTGGCTCTGTGGACCCAAACCTAAAATGTGTCAGATAGCCTCCAGTTCGAGTGCAACTAGAGTGTGAAAGAGTCGGTTAGTAGATGTTATTCTATTATCACTGTTGAATTCATCCATTCAGCAAGTAGAAAATCAGAACTCTGAGAAAACAAGGCGTTTAATTTCTAAGCATCGATATGAGGGAAGGTCTTGTCCAATACAGTAGGAAGCTGGATAAATCGCAGAAAGAATGAACGAACTGGGTATTTGATAGGAATAAGATTACTAAAAAGCAAAGAAAAAAGGAGGAAGGGAACTCAAACATTAGGTAGAAGCAGTTAGAACCCAAGATAATCCTCAACTAGTTTCTAATTTTTACTAAGACTTTTTCTAAAGATCTGTTTTAAAACTAACTTTTTGTATAAATCCAGATTTTAACACTAAACAAGCAAGTTAAGTATAGTAATTCAAGGCCAAAAATGTGCCCAGGCCAGCCCGTGTGTCAAATGTCAGATACACACTCCCCAAGGGGCAAAATGCTGCTCTAGGGCTGTCCTCTGAAGCATTATCCATCATTATGGGTTTTCTGAACTTGCAGTAAATTGTGTCATTTCTAATAGCAAATTGAACATTTTCCTGGAAAGGAGATGTTAACATTGATAATGAGCTATAATGTTCTAAGAGAATGCACTAAACATTTTGTTGAGAGGACAATTTGTTAGTAAATAATATAAAATAATAGAAGGGATTAAAGATAGGCCAAAAGTTATAAATTATTAAAATCTATTCTTGATCATACAAGAAGTAGCACAAAGAGAACAAACTCACAAGTTGTCAGATATTCCACATTTTTGCATGTGAACCAAACAAATATGCATTTTCAGATCCCAAACGGATACCATCATCAAAAGTACTGGACCCGGAATCAGGTGTCCTTCCTTTCATGCACCTCAGCATGATCATAGGCCTATTGTTTAGTTTAGACATATGTATTCTTATCTGTAAATGTGCTTGTCCTTGGGAGCAGAGAAAGGAAAACTAGACTAGATTATGGAAGATAATCTGTAGTCTATAGTTAGCGAAGAAGACTCAACAAATACGATTTTATACCATATCTTGACCTTCAAATTTTTTTAAAGCAAAGATTAGTATTTTATTAAAGTTAGTACAATTTGTAAGTTTGACCTCTCGGAACCTCCCATTTTGACAAATTAATCAACCATTTCCTACTGGTCCTCATTCTGGTGGCAAAGTCACATGATATAAGCTTCAATGCTTGCACCAGAAATGAAAGTTTCAGCTCTCAGAGAAACCCATTACAAAGGTTTTGCTTTGTTAAATGTCCTCATTCTATAGGCTAGATGACTAAACTTTTATTTATTACTTCTTTTTTTTTTTTTTTTTTTTTTGGCAGAGTCTCACTCTGTCTGAGGCAGTGGCGAGATCTTGGCTCACTGCAACCTCCGCCTCCCGGGTCAAGCGATTCTCCAGCCTCAGCATCCTGAGGAGCTGGGATTACAGGCACCTGCCACCATGCCCCGCTAATTTTGTATTTTTAGTAGAGATGGGGTTTCACCATGTTGGCAAGCTGGCCTCAAACTCCTGACCTCAAGTGATCCACCCTCCTCAGCCTCCCAAAGTGCTAGGATTACAGACGTAGGCCACCATGCCAATTGTCCCTTTGTAAATGCTGTATAATTTTGAATACGTAAGAGTCAGTCTTGTGTCCCTATCTTATTTAGCTTTGGGAGAACAAAGATAGCAGAGGATATTACAACTTCCAAGGACCCAAACATCTGTTCATCAATAAACTAAACCAAAAGCGCATTGGTAAAATTCAAAAGCCAGATCCTCTATGTGAATCACATTTAGTATCACTGGATAATATCGAGACTCTCAAATAATTTAAAAAGGAAACAGATGGTTCAACAGTACTGACTGGGTGCTTCCTCAAGTGGTTATCCTCACCACCCGGTGGAGTGGCTACACTGGTCCTGTTTCCTACCATGCTTTCTCATTTCACTGCATTCCAGCGTTGTTTAGGGCCAGGGAGTTCCGTCAGCTAACAAAGCCCAAGAAAGCTAATGCCAAGTGCAACATGTGGACATAGCTTTTGATGGTGTAAATTTCACCTTTAATGCTAATGGACTTAAATCTTTTAACAAGCAAGATAGAAGATGATATGGAAGAGCTCATGTATACCTGTCATTACTACCACATTTAATCAAATCTAAGAAATCACTGGATATCAGAGATGTTAAGATGTGAAAAAAAGTCCTTAAAAATTGCTGAAATACGGCATTTGAAAACAACTAAGGTCCATGCTGTATTCACCATGGCTCACCTGTAGCCCTTTTCCAAAATAAAAATAAACACTAATATGTGGCCATTGGGTTGCAAGATCCTTGAGATTCAGGACTCCTATAAATGACTTTAGTGATGGCTCAAGCAGATATCATTTTAAGATTTCTCTGCTGTGACAAATCTCATTTCAGTTTTAAAATGCCTTGTGATTACACAGTACTATTTGCATGGTGCCCCTTTTAGCTTTTAGGTCACTTATATTTTGTCAATCAGTCCTACAGTGTTATTTATTTATCTATCACTTAATAACCATGCAGCAGAGAATAATTTCTCTGGCCTAGCATGGTAATTTGTACTATAATTTCACCCCCGCTGCTGTAAACTTAAATTCAGACACAGCTATGATTGCTAAAATTAAGATTTCTAGGTCACTTTTCAGCTTCTGTGTTCCTGTCTTTCATCATTTCATCTCACTCCATCTTCTTCAGCCGAAGTATGGTTTGTCAAACACATAAGCAAAGAAATATGCCAGTTGTTTCTTTCAAATGTGGTGCATACTTGATAGAGCAGGTAACATTCAAGTACTTACATGAACTGGGGTTTTTTTTATGGCCATCCTGTATATCCTAAAGTTAAATTCAGAGAAATGTGAAAGGGGATATTTTTTAAATCACAGTCAGGTTACTTCCTAGAAACTTCTGCATTAGGAAAAATCAAATGGATAAAGAGAAATAATCAATATTACTAACTGGGAAAACTAAGCACATCCCAGAAACAAGTAGACATTGTCTGTGGCAGGATTTCTCCAACATGTCATATTTTAATGGCACAGTCTTTTGAAAAGGGACATTTTTTTCCTTTCATTTTCCATTTTTACACAGGAAATAGTCTTTGAATTGTGCCAAATTAAGTAGAGTATGCATAGTGGTGGGGCAAGTGGTTAGAATCTTCTCAAAGCTCATCGTAGTTCATATTTGAGAGTATGAGCAGAATTCCTCAGCAAGATGGGAGATGTGATTTCTGAAATATCAAACCTTGTCCTTTATTTTTCTAGACTCATGAGTTTCCAGCTGTTATTTAAAAGGGAACTCTGAATTCCATTTCCCTCAAATCGTTCAATATTTTAAGTAAGAGGTGCTGTCATCTCTTTCTCCTTATTGTGGGTTCTTCTCTTTTAGGCCAAGTCTCTGTTTCTATAAATGTGGACTTTTAAACAGGTTGGAACAGATTTATTGTGAGTCACTGTTATTATCCAAAGAGGCAGGAATCTCACTTGCAAAATAATTGAAAATGAAGGACATTTTCTTCTTAAAAATCACAATGACATTTTCTATTTATTTATTTATTTCTGAGATGGAATCTCCCTCTGTCGCCCGGGCTGAAGTGCAGTGACATCATCTCAGCTCACTGAAACTTCTTCCTCCCCAGGTTCAAGCGATTCTCCTGCCTCAGCCACCCCCGTGAGTAGTTGGGATTACAGGTGCCCACTAACACGCCCAGCAATATATATATATATATATATATATGTAGTATTTTTAGTAGATATGGGCTTTCACCATGTTGGCCAGGCTGGTCTCGAACTCCTGACCACAAGTGATCTGCCTGCCTCAGCCTCCCGAAGTGCTGGGATTACAGGTGTGAGCCACCATGCACAGCTCACAATGGCAATTTTTATGAACACTTTTATTGTAGGCACACATGAAACAGAGTGAATCAAGTTTATTGAATACTTTTGATGCCAAACGCAGAAACTTGGACAACAAAACCCTGCAGGGTTGCCATTTTATAAGTTGCAGATATTAGGTATCTTGATAGCTACCTCCTGGCTTAGCCACTGCCCACGCCAAAAAGAGCCTCTCCAGCAGAGTGAGAAGTTCTGAGTTTGAAACTCAACTTCAACAACTTGCTGGTTGTGACTTTGAACAATCCACTCACATTTTGTAACATCTCTGCTTTGTCATCTGAAATATGGCAGAAATAATACCCATCTCTTGAATATATCATGAGTAAATTTTTTAATGCATAAAACCTCCATGCTT